>NT_167244.2:4324260-4440113 GCF_000001405.40 Homo sapiens | reverse complement strand
ACAGGGTGAAACTCAGTCTCTACTAAAAATACAAAAATTAGCCTGGTGCAGTGCTGCACACCTGTAGTTCCAGCTACTGGAGAGTCTGAGGCATGAGAATTGCTTGAGCCTGGAAGGCGGAGTTGCAGTGAGCCGAGATTGCACCACTGCACTCCAACATGGGCGACAGAGTGATACTCTGTCTCAAAATAAAGGAAAGAAAGAAAGAGAGAGAGAGTGGAAGGAAGGAAGGAAGGAAGGAGGGAGGGAAGGAAGGAAGGAAGGAGGGAAGGAAGGAAGGAAGGTCATTTCCACAGTTAATTGCTTAATGCTGGTGCAATTTCTGAAAACTTCACAAGTAGGCACAGTTCTAGAATATGGTGTCTCTTAGGAGGTTCCTGAAAGGATGGAAAGGACCCCCAAAAGTATTCTTGATTACAGGTTTCTGATAACTTTAGAATCATATCATCTTTACTGGGTAAGAATTCCTGGAGCTTTTTTTTTTTTTTGAGACGGAGTCTCACTCTGTCGCCCAGGCTGGAGTGCAGTGGCATGATCTTGGCTCACTGCAAGCTCCGCCTCCCAGGTTCACGCCATTCTCCTGCTTCCTGGAGCTTAAAAGACTGACTGGTTTATAAAACTGCCATCCCAAGTAGAACACAAATTAATTGAATACCAAGAAAATACTTTGCAAGTCTTTCATGCTAAATCACCCAATACTGAAATTGTTTAGATACACAATTTGAATAAACTCTGTGGTCTAACTCAAATTACCTATGATAACCCATCAGTTATCAGTGCTATGCACCTCAATTGGAGAAACAACCGTGTCAAGCATGGACTCATGGAGAACCAAGGTGGCTGCCTTATCCTTCCTGAGCTTTTAAAGCTTTTATAATTTAAAGTTCTGCATTCCATGACTCATCATGGAAAAGATAAAATGATCCAAGTTAAATGCATATTGGTGTGGTGACTTCTAAATTGCTAAAATAGTTTATGACCAATGTTTGGTTTGCCAAACCCATATTCCTGGGAAGACAATCAAAGCTTCAGGTACATTCTGCTACCTCATGAGCCGTTTAAACATTTATGAAGAGATTTCAGTCAATTGTCATTTTCAATGCATGTTTTCTGGTTGTGTAAAAGCTTTCCTATACAAGTGAACTGATGTTATAACAGTAGATTATTATTTCACAGTGTATTTTCACCAGGTAAAGAAAGCTTTTTATGGTTCACTGACTGAGGACAATCAACCCCTTCACAATCTAGAACCTGAAGATTGGATCTTCTGAGAACATCAGAGAAAGACTGCCCTTGCCATCCACACTGCAGCAAACATCAGAACCATGAACCTTGGCTTCATAATCTCACAACTGAGAAGGATCCCTCCACATTCTTGGAAATATACACCCATTGGAACCCGTAAGGTAAAGCTAACCAGGGAAGTTTCTCCCTAGAAGAAGATGGTATCCTTGATGTGAACAGCTTTTACCAAGATCACAGATCAAGACTTCTCTGCTATATGGAGGCTCTTATCTTTGAGTACTTTTTCCCTTGCTTATGCCTCTATGAACAGTAGAAGTGAAAAGGGGGTCTGTTGTGTGCACTCATGGAGTAGGTATACTTTTATTGGTGAAGGGTTTTGCAGCCAGCCTTATACATGGATAACCTCACACCTTGATAGATGAAAGATGAAGGCCCAGTGTAGGTGAGAAATTTTAATGGTACATAGGTTGCCTCATAATCAGTCAGAAACAGAACATTGATTCACTCCCCTATTCCACATCATGGGTTAAAGAGAACATTGCCAGGAGGCCTTCAGTCTTCTAGAAGGGCATTGTTCCTTAGGTCCTTTTTACCATGATTTGGAGTAAAACAGGCAATGATTAGAAATGTATCCCTCATGAGAGGCTCTAAACAGAGTCTACTGTAAGGGCTATGGTTACACAACAGATTTTACATTCTTTTGTGAAAGTTATGCTTAATAGTAGGATTGCTGTAGATTACTTACTGGCTAAACAGAGAAGTATCTGTGCAGCTGCTGGCACTTGTGGCCTATGGAGAAATACATCACGTCAGGTATTACAGAGATTCAGTTGTAGGTAATTAATGAAGAGACTGCTTAAATGAGTAAACTCTTTATTTAGCTCATTCTTTGATCTATTTAATTTTGGGTGGTTTGGTTTATGGGGACCCTGTGTAAGGAGCATACTCCAAACTCTTGGTATTATCCTCCTGATAGTCATAATAGTAGTCTATCTGGTGCACTGTATTCTCTCGAAAGTTTTAAATGTTTGCATGCAGCCATCTCTAGAATGTCAAATTGTCTCTCTTCAACTAGAATGACAAGATTGAAAGAAATGTGTGACCATGAGGGCACTTTAACCTATGAATGATGTGTCGAGACTGGAAACCCAAAATGATGGTAACTGAGAGTGGCGCTAAGGCCCTAAGCTTTGGTCACATTCTCACCTAAGTGAGAACCTGACCAAAAAGGGGACATTTTTAAACAAAATCATGGCAGGCCATTGTTTTGGACTTTAATGAAAGGCCAAATGCACTAAGCCCCAACAGACCAGACCAAACCAAAATGGAGTCACTTGTGCTAAATGTGACATGATTAAACTAAGACTTTAAGGAAACACATAGATCCTAAAACAGGCCAGGTTTTGTTTTTTTCTCCTATAAACAGAACGTTCCAACAAAAGGAGGTACCCTGTAATCTAACCCTTCAAAAATAAAATTAAAATAAAATAAAATAACCTGAAATCCTTGTTCCCCCTTACAAAACTCATTGTTCTGCTATTTCCCAGGGGGTTTCAAGACCAAATAAGTACATTTACAATGGTGATAGTGGCATCGATGACTGAAGTTTTGGTAAATCTCTAAAAATTGAGAAGATTACCAAAAGAGGAAAATTGTTAAATCAAGTTTAGCCTAAAGCTGCCTCCTTACATATTTTAAGTTTGGCCTAAAGGTTTCTCTGTACATCGTGAACTATAACAAGTGGAGGTGTAAACAGCCTACACTTGTGTCAATCACCAAGTTTCAGCCAATCATATGTAGCCAACTGTTCAAACTGTGTTCAAATAAGGATACACCCAGCTGTAATCAATTGGGTGTTTCTGTACCTCACTTCTGTTTTCTGTATGTCACTTTCCTTTTTCTGTCCATAAATCTTCCACCACATGCCTGCAATGGAGTCTCTGAGCCTACTCTGCCTCGGGAGGCTGCCTGATTCATGAATCGTTCATTGCTCAATTTGACTCTTTTAAATTGAATTCAGCTGAAGTTTTTCTTTTTTTCTTTTTTCTGTTTTTTTTTTTCGAGACAGAGTCTCACTCCGTCACCCAGTCTGGAGTGCAGTGGCGCAATCTCAGCCCACTGTAACCTCCTCCTCCCGGTTCAAGTGATTCTCCTGACTCAGCCTCCCAAGTAGCTGGGACTACAGACACCATGCCTGGCTAATTTTTGTATCTTTAGTAGAGACAAAGGGGTTTCACCATGTTGGCCAGGCTGATCTTGAATTCCTGACCTCAAGTGAACCACCTGCCTCAGCCTCCCAAAGTGCTGGGATTACAGGAGTGAGCCACCGTGCCTGGCCAGAAGTTTTTCTTTGAACACTTCTTTTTTTTTTTTTTTTTTTTTTTCGGGAAGGAGTCTCACTCTATCTCCCAGACTGGAGTGCAGTGGCGCGATCTCGGCTCACTGCAAGTTCCACCTCCCGGGTTCACGCCATTCTCCTGCCTCAGCCTCCTGAGTAGCTGGGACTACAGGCACCTGCCACCATGCCCAGCTGATTACAGGGGTGAGCCACCGTGCCCGGCCTTCTTTGAACACTTCTACGTGGAAGTGTGAGGATTCAATGAATAAGTTGAGCACATGGTACAAGTTCAGTGAATATTTTCTGATTGTGTTCAGTGTTATCATTATTGGAATGATGTGAGGGTTGGTTAGTCTTCAGAGACCAGGGAAACAACTGAAATCTTCTATGAGTCATTTCTATCATTGTTTATCCCCATTCCTTTTCTTTTCATTCATTTTTGCATTTCTCATTTTCTGTGTTATTCCCTTGCATTCCTAAAAACTTTCCCATTACCTGCTTGCTTCTTGTATTCTGTGTAGTTTCCTATGTGTTCATCATTCTGCAGTCTTCTTCCCCTTCATGCAGCAGACCATGTGTCAACGTATGCAGAGTTTGTGCAGACACACAGACCCTCTGGGGAGTATATGTTTGAATCTGATGAAGATGAGCAGTTATTTGTGCACCTGGACAAGAAGGAGATGGTCTGGCATCTGTGACAGTTTATTCACACTGTGAGGGTCAGAAAATGAAGGGACCAGGGATGGAAAGGGATGGGGGACAAAACACTAAGCTGGCAGTCCTAACCCCACTGTGTTTATTCTACTCCAGGTGTCAAACTTTCTCAGCCAGAAGTTGACATAAGGAAGTCACCAGCTTCGGTCTCCTTTAAATCTCCAGGCCTAACTTCTTTTTGAATCTCTGCTCTTCAACCACAATGACTTATGTACCCCAAGACCCCTCTACCTCCTGGCTGCCTATGATCCTCCTGCACCTAGCACTCAGCAAAGGGTCTGACATTTAGATAGCCCTCAATCAATATGAAGAATTTAAAGTGTAGTGACAAGGTGGTGCCCACACTGGATGGTCTGTATGCTGTGGTCTCATCAGGAACCTTTCTCTGCACTGCATTTTTCCTGAGAAATCCCAGAGTTCAATAAATACCTGTGTATGTCAGAGCTAGACACATCTGATGCCTTTCTGTGACTCCTTATATTCTCAGTTTCCTAGGAATGCATATCCTGGACTTGTAATTGTAGGATACAGGTGCATTATGGGTGCAGATACCTCAGTTTTGCATCCTGCAAGAGTTAGTCTGCAGATTGTTCACTCCACTCTGGGTACGGCTGACACCTACAGCATGCGTCCAGGGGACAAAAATGGAAGGAGATGACTCTGATTGGATAGTGAGAGGAACACGGGTAGCTCTGGTAAACTGACCAGGGATAGGCGCCCAGGGGCACACAAGGCCCAGAAGCTGCTTGTGAGAAGTCAGGGAGAAGGAAGCCAACAACTGGATGTATCAGAGAGCCACTGAGTGCTCATTATGTGTATCAGGAGTTAAGAATCCATCCTCTACACGAAAAGGAAAGCTTAGACCAAACATGTCTTCTACCTTGATTTACAGTAACTTAATATGAAATGCAAAACACATAAAAATTTTGGATTGTAAAAAAAAGATCAGTGTTTGAAAGAGTGCCACACCTATTGCTTTGCACTTTCAACAATGGGGAGGCGTTTCTCACTGTATGAATTATTAGCTCAGGAGGTCTAGGCTGGTGAATGAATGCAGACTTAGAGGATAAATGTCGTCTACTTGATGCATTCAAAAGGCCAAGCAACATTTGGTTAAGGAGTATTTGTGATGGCATGCAAAGAAAGTGTTGAAAGTGTGTTAGATTATATTTATCGTTTTAAATTCTGATGCTTATTTAATTTCTTAACAGTAATGCTAAAACATGCTCTTAGTAAGTTATATGTTGAATCAGTGCTATGTTAATATGGGCCCTATAACACAGATTTGCAGTCTGTTCACCACTGAATAGCTAAGAATAGTGGTTTCAGACCTAAATGGATGAAGACACCAAACATGAGGATGGGGCAGCTCACTGAAATATAGTAAATCCAGGAGAGGTCTATGTCCAACAGGCCACCTTATACAATAGTTTGGATGGATTTTCATGGTTTTCTTCTTTCTTATGTCTAAACCACAATGAACTTCTTTATTAACTCTTACTGTTTGCTAAAACCCTCAAGAAAAAAAAGTGATGAGACATGACTTGGTGTATATTCTTAACAGAAAACAATCATGTTGGGTTTTGATTACTCATGGCACTAAGGAGAAAGGAACTTGGTTGGAGGCCCCATGAGAGAAATCATGCATTGAATCCAGGAACAGAATGATAGAAACTGGCTTCAGTGCAACTACTCAGCAGCAGCATCCTCTTGGGAGGCTGGGGGTCTGTCCTCGAAGCAGGTACTGGGACTAAAGAAACAGAAAATGCTTGTTCCAAGGTACATTAGTCTTTTAGGCAAGGTCAGCAACCCTGTGGAGGTAAAAAACAGTAATCCCAGGTTGCTGGCCCCCTTCCTTTAAGTCCCAGGAGAGAAAAATAACGGTGAGAGGCTGAATCTCAGGCTGATAAAGAATAGAGTTGATCTGAGCTTCCTTTAGCAATGGAGCCATGCAATGCTCTTTCCCCACTCACCCCAGGGCTGAGGTTGAAACAGGGGTTCAGGCCTGAGACTCTCTTCCTAGAGGAGCCTCAGTGTCACAATGTACAGAAAGGACTTATGTCCTCCTGTAACTCCCCCAACAAGGAAATCAAAGCAGGAATATTGCCTGTTTATGCAGATCCTTGTTGAACTGAAATGAAAGGAAGAAAGAGAATGTATTCAGCTACTGAAACCACCTCAGACAATTAGAGAAACGTTTCCATCATACTTCCATTGTCCATCACTCAATGGACGCTCTGCAGGAGCCTGAGTAACTGGGACCTCATGCATCTGGCTGCATTAAGATGCCAGGCTGGGATTCCTCTCTCCTTAGAAGCTGTCTTTGTTTCCTGACTATGTGATTTCAGCAAGCTCTCTGGCATTGCTTTTTTGTCTCAGCCCCTCATCATGGAAGAAGGGTGAGCAAGTCAGGAGAAAGGTGGGTATCGGTCACCTCACAGGATTTCTCACCTTTCTTCCTCCTTCTGTGCGTGAAGATGTCCACTCCACAGATGATGAGCCCCAGCATGAAGCCCCTGGCTCCTGTCAGCATCTTGCTCTGCACAGAATCAGACTGTGCCTCTAGGAAGAACAGGCTCAGGTTCAGAGTCACCTCCAGCAGCTGCACCCCTGCTCATGTCCTGTCTGAGATCCTGCAGCCTGATGCAGAATATTGGCACGAGGAGAGCGAGGGGAATACACCTTGCATGACAGGAAACTGAGAAACAGTCACTCTCTCAATTCTAGAACAGAGGGTGTGACCTCAACAACAGACAAATTCAGATTCAATTAGTTGCCTCTCAAAATAACTTAGAATAAGCTAAAAGGCTGAAGGAAGACAACAGTTCCCATGTGTAACGTCAGTTCAGGAAGGTGTCTGCATCCCTAGATTCTTGGACAAGGAGAGGAACTATGAATCCTTAGGACCTCCTAGGCCGGGGGCAGGCAAGTCTCCATTGTCCCCAGGTTAAAACTACACTCAGTGTCTTCTATAGAAGAAAAATGGGGTCGGACATGGTCCCAGGGTATAGACACATAAAACCAGATGAGTGGACCCCAGAGCCAGAGAGTCCCCTGCTCTTCAGAGGTGGAGTCTAGAGGGTCATCAGACCCTCACTCCACTCCACGGTGACAGGACTGTCCAGGCTGGGGTGCTCCACTTGGCAGGTGTAGATGTTTCCCTGCTGGGGGGTCATTTCCAGCATCTCCAGGATCTGGAAGGTCCAGTCTCCATTACGGATCAGGTTGGTGGACACGACCCCAGCTGTTTCCTCCTGTCCATTCAGGAAGCATCGGACTTGAATGCTGTCTGGGTAGAAATCTGTCACGTGGTAGACAAGCAGGTCGTGGTGCTGCTGGGGCTCCTTCTTGGAGGGGAGATGTTCACCCTAGGCTGGACTAGGAGTGGCGAAGTGGAAAAGTGGAATAGCATTTGAGATTATTATTTCTTAGACATGCTCATTATGGAATTGATTTCTAGATGTTGAAAATAGGAATGATGGCCAGGCGCAGTGGCTTACACCTGTAATCCCAGCACTTTGGGAGGCTGAGGCAGGTGGTTCGAGACCAGCCTGACTAACATGGAGAAACCCTGTCTCTACTAAAAATACAAAATTAGCTGGGTGTGGTGGTGCATGCCTGTAATCCCAGCTACTCAGGAGGCTGAGGCAGGAGAATCGCTTGAACCCCGGAGGCAGAGGTTGCATGAGCTAAGATCCCACCATTGCACTCCAGCCTGGACAACAAGAGTGAAACTCCATCTCAAAAAAAAAAAAAAAAAAAAAAAAAGAAGTAGGAATGATGTGATTAGGTCAGCAGATAAGGGGAGTATTGAAACTATAGAAATAGTATTGAGAAGAATAGGAGGCACACAAACTTACCAGTTTGTAGCACATTTAAAAGAAATCTTATCTATCAGCCACTGATTAACAGCCTTTGGACAAAGAATATTTAATCAGCAGCGACACTACCTTATCTTTTGAGTGCTCTATCCTGATGCAAAAGATGAAAAATTTGCTCAAATGATTTCTTGAAATTAATATATATATAAACAACATTCTCATGGTCTATTAATCCAATAACTATATTTCATAAATATATCAAGAAAATAAAGTGAGCTTGACATGACTTATTCTGCAAGTAACCTATGGATTTTTTGGCCTCGCCTACAAACACTCAAAATCGTCCTATTTACATAATATCCTGAGCCCCTACATGCTTAAATAGTAGAAATCCCATCCTTTTCCCTAAGTTCCTCCTCTGCACTGTGTTGTCACATCCATTGAGGTTCTCAGATAACCAGGTGTTGGCTGTGCCTTGGCACCTCTCTATTTTTGCCCCCTCTTTTTCTGCCGCTTACAGATCAATTTCCACGCTACCACCTGCAGCTTTTCCTTTGGACCTCAGCCACTAGTACCCTTTTCCTCCACAGAAGGCAGAAAAGGGCCAACTGCCCCTAGAGAACAGCTCAATTACAGGAATGTTCCAAATCAGAGCTTCTAGGTCCTTATTTACTCTGTTCTTGAGAACACAAATACACTGACATGGGCCTGGGCCAGGTAAATGAACAGTCTTTAACTAACCCCCAACCCTTACTCCCTATGGCATTTTTGCCTTGTGTCCAGGATTATTCACATTCACAGCCTCTTCCCTCGATGTGATTTTATTTCAGAGGCACTTGGCTCTCGTTCTACTTCAACCACCTCCATAAACTCAACATCCATCAGACTGGTCAGCCCATGTCTGAATCCCAACTGTAGATTAAGTGGAACTTCTTCCCCATAGGTGTCCTGGGAAGCATGAAAGTCATGGGATATATGGTTGTCTGTTTTAAGGTCCCAGAACATTCCATGAGAAGCACTTTGCTCCATCTTCTTTGACGGGAGCTGGTCAGCCTGGAGCACATCAGAGACCTCCAGGGGGCGCTGCAGCTAAGGCTTGATACCCAGTGGCCTCATTTCTGACCCAGTTCAAATATATTTCACCAAGGCAAGGATTCCTGTTTGTTCTAGTTGCCTTTGCTCAGTTAATTCTAGATTTGGGTGGGCATCCACACTGGAATGGCCAGAACTTCTATCCTCCTCTTTCCTCCGTCTCCCCTACCCCTGTGTTTTTCTTTATTCTAATTCATGCCCTTATTATGATTTCCCTGGACAATAATAGCAGTTTCTTATCTCATCTCCCTGCCTCTGGTTCCTGCTCTCTCCAACTGACTTCACAGTCTTCTGAAAACAGATTTCCAGCCTTGTCATTTTTTTTTTTTTTTTTTTTTTTTTTTTGAGACGGAGTCTCGCTCTGTCGCCCAGGCCGGACTGCGGACTGCAGTGGCGCAATCTCGGCTCACTGCAAGCTCCGCCTCCCGGGCTCACGCCATTCTCCTGCCTCAGCCTCCCGAGTAGCTGGGACTACAGGCGCCCGCCACCGCGCCCGGCTAATTTTTTGTATTTTTAGTAGAGACGGGGTTTCACCTTGTTAGCCAGGATGGTCTCGATCTCCTGACCTCATGATCCACCCGCCTCGGCCTCCCAAAGTGCTGGGATTACAGGCGTGAGCCACCGCGCCCGGCCTCCAGCCTTGTCATTTTAAGATTTCTGAAGATTTTCAAAAATCTTCAGTGTTCTGACACTTATCTGGTTACATGGGAATCACTTGGGAGCTGATTAAAAACACAGATCTCCAGACCTCCCCACCTAGGGAATCTGAATCTCTAGGCAGTGAGTCTGGGGGAATCTTTGCTTCACAGAGGATCTCAAGGAGAGTCTTCTGAGCAGTGAGGTTGGGGACCTGCTGGCCTAGAGGAGAAATCCACACTCCTTAGTCTGGCATCAGGGGGTCTCTGCAATCTGGCAGCTGATTACCATGAAAGAAAATGCTGCCATGTCGCTGATTTGGGCCTCTATGAAGTCTTAGTGACAGATTTTGCAAATTGTATTACTTTTATTTGGACACCTCTCTCAACCAATTACGCCAGCAACTTTCCTAAACCCATGTCACTCTCCTCATCCTTACTCAATGTGTGCATCTTCTCCCTCTTATCAGATGACCTTCCTTTCACTTTCCCAGGAACAGAGGGATCAATGGTGTGACCTCCTGAGCCTCCTCCTCCTCCCCCTTCATTCTTTCCTCTTTCTCTAGGACAAAGGTCCTTGTTTAGTGAGAGGCTCACTGGTGCTTTTTGGTCTCCTTCACGGGATTTCTCTCTTGGCCAAATTAATACACGAGTTATTAAGAGATTATTTTTAGGCAGCTAAAAAGGGTAAAAGTTCTGGGTGGAATTTTCCTTTAATAAAAAGCAGCCCCAAGCCATTTTTTCTCTAACAGAAAGCAGCCTGAAAACTCAGGCATAGATATGCAAACTAGAAGCTTTTATGTAAATGCTGGCAGCTGTTCCTGGAAGTCAGGTAATTCAATATGGCTATTCTCACCCTCTTTCCCTTCTACGTTTACAGGTGTCAAGGCAGCCTCCAGGTTAAAGCACGTGTACAGGTATCATGGCCGCCACCAGGTGGAGGCCGCATTTGTATAATAAAATACTAAGGTGGGAAGGCCAGTCTTTTTGCAGGTTATGTAAATGACACACCTGGTCAAACCAATCCCCTGAGCCCTATGTAAATCAATCACTGCCTCCTCAAGCCTCTGTACAAAACCAATTGCTTTCCACCAGAAACAGGAGACCCTCTCTTGGGTGACCTGCCTTATCAGCATTAGGAAGCTTTTCCTCTCACTCCTCTTTTCTATTAAACTTTCCGCTCCTAAACCCACTCCTTGTGTGTGTCCGTGCTGTGAATTCTTTTCGGCTATGGTAAAGAACCAGGGTATATACCCTAGACAGTGGAGCTGTTTCATTTTGGGAGCTCATCCGGGATCCAAATCAGAATGGAAGATAGAAACATCGGAGTGGTGAGTATAGAGCAAACGTCAAATCTGTTCTTTAATCTCAAGAATCTCTTCATACCAGTTTCCTTTCATGGAGAACTTCACCATCGCATGAGGCTGGGAAAGTCTTGGGGCAACTGAAAATTTCTGGCCAGGGCACACCCTGGTGTTATTCAAAGGCTTCTGGACTGAACGCAGCCTCCGACAGCCTGTCCAGGTGTTGGTAATGGATCTCCAGCTAACCCGTTGCAAAATTTTCCTTTCCTTTGTATCCGTGGTCACTATGTCTCCTGTCCTCTCTCTCTGTGTGTGCAATTTGCGGGAAGTTTTACAGTTCAGGGAAACACTCCTGTTAGGGAAGATCGGCAAATGCCACAGGCAGTAACTGTTACTCTCTATCCTCTCTGGCGAGCACATGGTAGTGCTAAGCCAACAGCACCACCTAGTGGAAATAAAAATCCTCTTCATCAGGCACCTTGTCGGTTTTTTACCGTAACACTGCCGCTTCCAGATTCTTTCGTGCCGCTAGAAAAGCCTCTTCTGTGAACGAGAAAGCACTGTCTTCAACAGTTTGGAGTAAAATGTCCTCTGTAGTGAAATTTTAGTTCTGATACTGTCTCATCAGCAGGAAAAACAGCCATTAGGTTCCTACGTTCATTTCCGTCTCCAATTAGGATAGTACTTAATTAGCAAGGGGATTTTAGGTTCGGAAGTTAACCAGAGCCATTTTGCTAAGGGTAAATGTCTTAGCATGGGCCGTAATGGCAGGCAATCTAGCACACTGCCTCCGTTAAAGGAGCCTACCCAAAGATGACATAGTCTCTCTGGAGATCCATTTTTCTGGGAGCCAGGCAGATCACACAAATTTAGGACGTCAAAGGGGATCACATAAGGTGGATAAGCTAAGGTTGTGTGGGTAAAGTATGGTTAATCCCATCACTTAGTTTATCCAGTTCCACGGCTTGGAGGACCACGCCTACAACCATGGGTGGTACATTTAACACGTTGCCAGGACCCAGGAACCAAGGAGAGAAAACAGTAGGGAGGACACTTCCACTGTCTTCTCCTCCACCCTGGGTCACAATGAAAGAATGGGGACGAAAGGATACTTTTATTCTCACTTCTTTTTCTAGATGGGTGACAGACCAGCTTCAGCTTGCACCCCTCTGGAGTGCACTCTGAAACACTGGAACTCCTTTAACCTCAGGACTTTGAAGAGAAAAGTGACTCATTTTCTTTTGCACAAGGGCATGGCTTTTTTACTAAACCTTTGCAAGCACTGTAAGATCAGCCCAGCTTTTTAAATAGGCATATCAGGTAGGCCTATAGAAAATAATCCCCCAGAATTAGAAAGGCAATTTCCAAGGGAACCATCTGAGAATTCCCCTTATTTAGGGTTGCCAATATGGGGGAAGTAAAGAGAAATCAGACTGTTGCTGTGTCTATGTAGAAAAAGGAAGACATAAGAAACTCCATTTTGATCTGTACTAAGGAAAATTCTTCTGCCTTGACATGCTGTTAATCTGTAACCCTAGCCCCAACCCTGTGCTCGCAGAAAACCTGTGCTGTATTGACTCAAGGTTTAATGGATTTAGGGCTGTGCAGGGTGTGCTTTGTTAAAAATGTGTTTGTAGGCAGTATGCTTGGTGAAAGTCATTGCCATTCTCCAGTCTCGAGTACCCAGGGACACAATGCACTGTGGAAGGCCGCAGGGACCTCTGCCCAAGAAAGCCTGGGTATTGTCCAAGGGTTCCCCCCACTGAGAGAGACAGCCTGAGACATGGCCTTGTGGGAAGGGACCTGACCTGACCGTCCCCAAGGCTGATTCCCATAAAGGGTCTGTGCTGAGGAGGATTAGTGAAAGAGGAAGGCCTCTTTGCAGTTGAGATAAGAGGAAGGCATCTGTCTCCTGCTCATCCCTGGGAATGGAATGTCTCGGTGTAAAACCCGATCATACATTCTATTTACTGAGATAGGAGAAAGCCGCCTTATGGCTGGAGGTGAGACATGCTGGTGGTAATACTGCTGTTTACTGCACTGAGATGTTTGTGTAAAGTCAAACATAAATCTGGCCTATGTGCACATCCAGGCACAGCACCTTTCCTTAAACTTATTTATGACACAGAGTCCTTTGCTCACATGTTTTCCTGCTGACCCTCTCCCCACCATTACCCTATAGTCCTGCCACATCCCCCTCACTGAGATGATAGAGATAGTGATCAATAAATACTGAGGGAACTCAGAGACCAGAGCCGGCACAGGTCCTCTGTATGCTGAGCACTGGTCCCTTGGGCCCACTGTTCTTTCTCTATACTTTGTCTCTGTGTCTTATTTCTTTTCTCAGTCTCTCGTCCCACCTGATGAGAAATACCCACAGGTGTGGAGGGGCTGGCCCCCTTCAACCTCAAGCTCCCTTTTCATTACAGGACCTTAGGCAAACAAAGGAAGACTTATGCTAATTTTCTGATAACCCCAATAGGTTATAGAAGCTGTCCAGAATTTAACTCAGGTATTTCACCTCACATGGAAGGATGTTATGCTGCTCCTAAACCAAACTCTAACCGCAGTTGAAAAGCAGGCAGCTCTGCAGGCAGCAGATAATTTTGGAGATGAGCAACATATCTCCTATAATACACCAAAAGGGAAGAAAAGAGATAGGGAAAGTGAAAAAAATAACAGAAACACCATTCCCAGTAGGAAGGGAAGCAGTTCCTCTCGACAACCCCAACTGGGACCCCAGTAGCTCTGCAAATGAATAGAAATGGAAGCATTTTTAAAATATGCATATTAGAGGGTCTATGAAGAACTAAGGCCTGACCTCTTAATTCCTCTCAACTGTCTATGATAGACCAAAAGCCAGATGGGAATCCTGCAGCTTTTATGGAAAGGCTGAGAGAGGCACTAATAGAGCACACTTCCTTAGCCCCTAATTCAGTCAAGGGATGGCTCATTGTAAAGACAAGTTTATTACACAGGCAGCTCTTGATATTAGAAGGAAACTGTAGAAGCACGCTATAGGACCAGATAGCACCTTGGGGAACCTCCTGAGGGTGGCCACTTATAATAGGGACCAGGAGGAGGCCCCCCAGAAAGAGAGAAAGCTCAGGAGAAAGACAGAGGCTCTAGTAGCAGCTTTGCAAGCTTGCAAAGTCCAAGATTTCTGAGGTGCATCCGCTAGTTGCTATCAGTGTGGCAAGCCAGGGCATTTTAAAAAGGAGTGCCCAAACAGCAAGAGGAAGCCACCTCAACCCTATCCAGCCTGTGGTGGAGACCACTGGAAATCAAACTGCCCCCGGAGACGGAGGTCACTGGAGTCAGAACCAGTCTCACAGATGGTCCAGCAGGACTGATGGGTCCTGGGGCTCAAACCCCAGCTCCAGTGGCTCAAACTGCCATTACAGCACGGGAGCCACCAGGTGATTCTGGAAATTGAAGGAAGGAAACTAGACCTCCTTCTAAACACTCGAGCCAGTCTCTCTCTCTTTTCTCCTCTTTAATCCAGGCCTCTCTTCTTCCCATAGCGTGAGTGTAAGGGGTGTCTCAGGAAAAACTCTATTCCAATATTTTTCTCAACCTCCTAATTGCAGTTAGGAGGACCTATTGTTTACACATGCTTCCAAGCCATTGCCACGGTGGCTCTACTAGTCAAAAAAGCCTCCAAATTAACCCTAGGAAATAATTTAACTGTTTACACCCCACATAATGTAGCAGGATTACTGTCCTCTAGGGGAGACTTTAGCTAACAAACAGCAGGTAAAGCAAGAAATACATAAGGCAGGACAAGCAATAGTCACTCTAATGTCTCTCCCCAGACACAAGCACTCAATTAGCTGAACTAATAGTTCTTGCAAGTGCACTTAAATTAAGCAGGGGAAAGATAGCTAACATTTCCACTGACTCCAAGTATGCTTTCTTAGTTCTCCATGCTCATGCTGCTATTTAAAAGGAAAGACATTCTTTTACCACTAAAGCATCTCCTATAAAATATCACCAGGAAATTAACAGGTTATTATCCTCAGTTTTCCTTTCACGAAAAATAGCAGTAATGTATTATAGGGAACATCAAAGAGGAACAGATGAAGTAGCCAAAGGAAATAGGTTAGCTGAGCAGGGAGCTAAGCAGGCGGCAGGGAAGCCTCAAGGCATTAACACACTTCAAGCCCTTTTAATCTCGGAAGCCTCCATAAAAGAAATTAAACCTCAGTATTCCCCTGCAGAAATAAAATAAGCCACTTCTTAAGGGTATTCCAGCCCTGAGGATGACAAACTCCATTTACTGGCCTCCAGTCAATGGAAAGTCCTTAAAATCCTTCACCAAGCTTTTTCACATAGGAAAGGATAAAACTTATCATCAGTGTGCTCAGAGATTGTTTTCAGGCAGAAAACCTCTAAGTTGTTTAAAAATGTAACCTCTCTAGCTCACTTCCAACAGAAATTGACACAACTAGCCAAAGGCCAACCCCAGGAAATTGGACCACCAGAAAATTTGGTATTGGTGAAAACTCATCTCTCTCTCCTTCCCTAAGCCAGGCTGGGAAGGGCCCTACACAATTCTTCTTTCAACCCCCCCAGCAGTAAAAGTTACAAGTATCAACCTCTGAATATATCACACTCAAGTCAAAGCCTGAAAAGCTGAGGGAGCAACCTTTGACAGCCCAGAGGAACATCCTGAATATCAATGTGGAGATATAGAAGATCTTAAGCTGAAAATCATAAAAGGTAAGTAAATGAGTGAGGGCTACTCGCCTTAGCGCCAATCCTACCTCACCAGGTACTCTTTATCATTTCTACCTTTCCTCTCAAAATTCACTGCTCAGTATTAGAACTTTTTTTTAATGCATATTTGCAGAGAGATTTTAATTATACATGGGACTGCATTTGTTACTTTGTAAATCCCCAAAGGGAAACATTATATCTTGGCAAGTAAAGTTTTAAATGGAAATTATTTACTACGTCACTTTTGTGGGAATTGTTATCATCATGCTGTTATTTGCAATAGAACTGTATACTGTGGCACCCACAATGTGGAATTCTGGTTGTAAAATTCTAATTCCTGTAATATTTTGCCTAATTATCATCTTTATGACAGAATTAATAATTGCA
Source organism: Homo sapiens (assembly GCF_000001405.40). Lineage (NCBI taxonomy): Eukaryota > Metazoa > Chordata > Mammalia > Primates > Hominidae > Homo > Homo sapiens. The sequence continues at coordinate 4,423,858 of NT_167244.2, read as the reverse complement.
GGAAGGATTTGGTCAAGTTTGTTTTGCTTATAGCAGGAGTAATAGTTACAGACAAGAAGTAAGCATGAAAATTTTACTATCACTAAGTTTGATAGGACTTTTTTATTGAAGATTGGTAAATGGTGCACTCTAAGCTATGGAAAGAAGGTTACAAATAAAGGGATTTTATATAAGAAAGGATCTTGTATAGTAAATTCTTGTCCTAAAAGGAAATGACTGGTTGTTTAAGACAAGTCAGAAAGTTGAGTACATTGTAAGAGGGTCTGTGAAAGTCATGAAAGAATTTAATAATTAAGAAATTTAATAATTAAAGGAAAGGAATTGCCAAGATTAACACCAAAGTTATTTTAGCCACCCAATAACGTTTTTCTCCCAATCATATCATAAGTTATAAAGAATGGCCTAAACCAAAAATTATGCCCTAATAGCAAGTCAAGGGGGAAACATGTTTTCTCAAAGGAAATGATGCTTTTATATTAACGTTTCTGGTAATGTACAGCGACATCTAGTGGAGACAAACCAGTATTACAATCCATTGGTGTAACAGGTATCAAACTCTACTGCCATAGTTACAGTCTATAGGTGGTAATCTTAATACTCATATGGTAACCCTATATTTTAAACCTTCTTGTAAAATTTATCTCTTTTTGCCTAGAAGCAATCAAACTTCAAATGGTGCTGCAAACAAAGCCACACATGGACATGCCATTCTTCCAAGAAGCCTTAGATCAACCTCAGGAGGAGCCCCAACTGCAGCCCCCCGACACGACGCCCCTTTTCAGCAGGAAGTAGCCAGAAAGAATCGTCGTCCAACACCCCCTAACAGCAGTTATGGTTACGTCTCCTGAGGGAGGAAATAATACAGGAGTTATTAAGAAATTATTTTTAGGCAGCTAGAAAGGGTAAAAATTCTCAGTGGAATTTTCCTTTAATAAAAAGCAGCCCCAAACCATTTCTTCTCTAACAGGAAGCAGCCTGAAAACTCAGGCATAGATATGCAAACTAGAAGCTTTTATATGTAAATGCTGGCAGCTGTACCTGGAAGTCAGGTACATCCAATATGGCGGTTCCCACTCTCTTTTCCTTGTCACCACGTTTACAGGTGTCATGGCAGCCTCCAGGTAAAACCACATGTACAGGTATCCTGTCCACCACCAGTTGGAGACCGTATTTGAATAATAAAAGACTAGGGTGGGAGAGTCAGTCTTTTCGTGGGCTATGTAAATGACACAACTGGTCAAACCAATTCCCTGAGCGCTGTGTAAATCAATCACCGCCTCCTCAACCTCTGTACAAAACCGACTGCATTCCACCACAAACCGCAGACCCTCTTTTGGGCAACCCACTTTCTCAGCATGAGGAAGGATTTTTTCTCTCTTTTCTTTTCTATTAAACTTTCCACTCCCAAACCCACTCCTCACGTGTGTCTGTGTCGTGAATTTTCTCGGCCATGACAAAGAACCAGGGTATATACCCCAGACAATGGAGCCGTTACAAAATCACAATGTCCAGTTCCCAGGATCCAGTCCTATGCTCCTCCCGATGGGTCCCCTCTCCCTGGGTGGTCTCATGTAGGCCAGGCCCCTCCCCCGCTGCAAACTCTTCTCTCACCTGCCCATCAGACCACCCATCTGGCCCCTCAAGCACCTCAAACCCGGCCATCTCCCTGCAGGTTTCTTCTCTGCGTGGCCTGCTGTGCCATCTCCACCTTCATCTCCACACCGCACCCCTGCACGATGTCCTGTGGCCTCGTTTCCCCTCACCCCACATGCAGTCAGCTGCCAGGCCTGATGAAGTCCCAGGGGTCTCTCTCCCTCCATCCTCCTCACTCCATGCTCAGCCCAATCTCCGTGCTCACCCTCCTGACAAGCTCCGGTTGGGCTCCTCCCATCAATCCCCAGCTCAAAGTCCCCTTCCCTCCTGGCACTAAGGTCCCTTAGGCCGGCCCGGCTGCCCCTACTCCCTGGGCCCGGCCCCCACGGCTGCCCCAGGAGCCCTGGTTCACAGCCCTCACCTCGGCGCTGCCGGATGAGTGGCTCCATCAGCTCGTACTTGTGTCTGCACACCTTGTCCACCTCGGCTCGCTTCCGTTCCATAAAGTCCTTCTGGCTATTGAAGTACTCGCCTATGGGCCGCCCCAGCTCCATCACTGCTAGGAACTCCCCCACTGCGCTGTCAAAATGCACGTATTCCTCCCGGTTGTAGATGAGCCCGTCCACAACGCGCTGAGTCCCATTGAACGCATAGCATTCCTGCCGTTCCTGGTAGACGGAATTCTCTGTGAAGAGCAGGGAGAGATGGGGGTGGTGCCACTCCCAACAACACCCCCCTCCTCAATATTAGCTATTTCCTCAAATCTTCCCACTCAGGACTGGATTTAAAAATACGATTTTTCCTACTACCGAGTTCTGTGGTCCTAGGCAGGTCACAGACTCCAGGCATCAGTTTTCTCACCACGCAGCGAGAGGATTTACTGAAAAGAATGAGACTCACTGCTCAGGGTGGCTGAGTGATCATTAGGGAGGGGCGCACGCTGAAGGGAAAGCAGCCCTTTCTGCTGGCGGCTGGAGGAGGAGGGGGAGACATTTCACGTCTCAGGGAGGAGCAGAATCTCATCAGGGGGAGGGTCCCTCAGGCAGAGAAACAGTAGGGATAGGAGGAGTTGGGGACCTGGAGGGCAGAGCTGCTCCCCCTACCCAACTCCCTGCCTGACATTTCCATCCTGATGTCAGTCCTGGCTCAAATGCCACCTCCTCCAGGAAGCCCTCCATTCCTTCTTTCCCTTTCTACAGCTAGGTTCTCTCTCTTCTCTGCCAGTTTCTTGAGAATACCTCAAGTTGCTCTTGCTGTTCTGCATGCTGGACATCTCTGCATGCTGGAAATGCAGAAATGCATTTCCATGCATTCCTCCCTCCCTCCCTCCCTTCCTTCCTTCCTTCTTTCTTCTTTCAATGGAGTATCCTTCCCTCCCTCCCTTCCTTCCTTCCTTTCTTCCTTTCTTTCTACAGAGTATCACTCTGTCGCCCAGGCTGGAGTCCAGTGGTGCAATCTCAGCTCACTGCAACCTCCGCCTCCAGGGTTCAAGCAGTTTTCCTGCCTCAGCCTCCTGAGTAGCTGGGATTACAGGTGTGCGCCACCACGCCCAGATAATTTTTGTATGTTTAGTAGAGATGGGGTTTCACCATGTTGGCCAGGCTGGTCTCGAACTCCTGACCTCGAGATCTGCCCTCCTCGGCCACCCAAAGTGCTGAGATTACAGGCGTGAGCCACCGCACTTGGCCAGAAATGCATTTCTTAAAACTTCTTGAAGTTTGCCATAAGAAAGACTATATAGCCTGAAAGTTAATTTTCACTTTCAAACATGGCTGTAGAAAGACTTGATCTCAAAACACCTGGAAAATATCTTAATCAATGAAAATCACCAGAACAACCAGAAAGCTAAGTGACTGGACTCCTTTAGGTTTAGAGGCATTGATGGTGTCATTTTTACATAAAGAAATGTGGCAGCCTTTTCCACCTGCAGTTCTTCCTAGGGAGCACCATGGGCAGTGTCCGGCAGGTGCATGTGTATACAGAAGTAGCAATGACCCAGCACATGTCTGAGCCTCTTCAGACCTGATCTGTTCCTGGTCACAGTGGGGAAATTAAGGTGCTGTGATTTGCACACAGCAAATTAAGGTTTGTTTTGGACACCTGTTTCATGTTCTACAAATTAGCAACTCACGTTTATTAACCTCACCCCTCATAGAAGATGCACAGCTGGTGGCAGAGGACAGTAGAGAAGGGGTGGGGCTGGGCACAGCGGCACCGTAGACTCGGCCTGCAGTTTCCAGTGTCATCTCTAAGGCAAGATCCCAGGACTTTAGATATCTTAACCCGCCTCTTCTCCTAGTGCCTTGGGCTCCAGCCCCCTAATCACCCAGGCCCATCGCCCCCAGCCCCTTTAGTCTGCCCCTCCCTATTCAAGTGCCCCACTCTGAGTGTGTATCCTCTCATTTTAATTTGTTAGTCTTTGTTCCTCTTCCTCATTCACCAATAAGAGAACATGTTTTAGTCAAGAGTAAGAATTTCAAAACTTTCTTTTGCAACATTTAACTTTTTAAACGGAATTTTACCTGCAAAGCAGATATAAGTGATGAGTATATGGTGGAATTTGAAACTTCATTTTTTTTTTGTATATGGAAAACTTTATCCTGTTTGCGGAATCTTTGACAATTGAGTTACCCAGAGCACAATTTGAAAACCAATGATCTGAGTGAATTCATCTCTCACTCAGAATAGGTTATATTAAAATATAATTGCAGAAAGATATAATGGAGTCCATATGGGTAAGAAAAGGAACATGTCACAGGTAGGGATTCCAGTTCTTGCACTACGACTGATTACTAAGTTATCTTGGACAAGAAACAACCTTCTAACTCTCCATTTCTTGAAAGGCAAAATAGTAATAATACTATTTACCTTGCAAAACTGCTGTGAGAACCAAATGAGCTCACATATGTCAAATACATAGTATTGTATCTGTTACTGCTCAATCTATGTTAGTTCCCTTCCTCTTTTCACTGTGTGACCTGTTTGAATAGGAGCAAAATTCTAAATAAATGCATATGAAAGAGGAACTGGATCAGCTTATGAGCTACTGGAAAACCTCAAGAAGACTTTCCATGGGCACCAGATCTTAATGGTTGAAAAGTGTTTGTTGGCTGTTTGCTGACTGGATCTTCCCCCCTCTCTTTTGTGCTAGGGATTTTATTTGAGGAGTTAGATTAACAGAAGAGTGAGTACCCAAAGACTCAAATGCACAATGAGCTTCTGCAAGTGCCCAGCTGGTGTGACAGGAGGACTCGGGAGTGTGGCCCTAATGCTTGGGGTAGTGGGTGGGGTGAGGTAAGAAACTCAGCTGTAAAAAGCCCATTTTAAAGCTTGTCAGAGACAAAAGGGTGTTGCCTCCAGGAGTCTGGTTTTTTCACCTGCCGTGTCATCTCCTGCTCCCTAGGTGTTGTCTCAGCCAAGCTTTTCTCCACCCTCCCCTCTCTCACTTTAAGCCACAGCCTGGCTCCTTGTGCCTTTCCTCTTGTGCTCTGAGGATGGAGATGTGTGTGGAGTTGGAAGAGCATGCAGGGAATTGTGGAATTGGCCCTGCCCACTCTACCCACTCCCCTTGGCTCCAGCTCTCCCTCCAGCAGGCTTTGATTGGACATTCATTCTACACGGGGAGCTCTGGTAACCCACCCTCGGTTCCTGTCACATGGCTCCACTGCCTCATCTCATTTCCCCTACCAACCTCAACCCAGTCTTCGCCCATCCACCTGTTCACTGCCCACCATCATCACGCTCCCTCCTGTGCTTTCTGCTACCCCGCACCTTGAGGGTTTCCACGGCGTTTCCCAACACCACCCCTCATCCTACAAACAACTCTGCCTATGGACACTGTTGCTATGGACCTCCTGCTGGACACTGTTCAGTGTCACCAGCGCTGCTCCAGCCTCCTCTCTCCCCAACCTCACCCCTCTCCAGTTCCCAGGGCTGAGCCATTCTGCTGGTTAGTTCTCAGCACCCCTGTGACTACAAGTGCAGTTTGTCCACCCTTTCCCGGACAATGAACCTGAGGTAATAGGTGAGGGGCTTTGGGGTTTGAGGGGCTGTCCTCAGGAGATTCGAATACTGTTACCCTGGAAAATGAGGAGGTGACATGAGAACAGCACTTTCTAGGGGTGTCCTAGGTGGATGTGGAAGGGTCTCAGAGGGAGGGTCTATGCAGAAAGGTGGAAGTCAGTGGAAAACTAAGACACCTACTCTGCAGTCCTTCCTCTCAGGGTGTTGGTGTAAATTTGGACCAGAAAAGTAAGAACATCCTGAGAGAAAAACAATGGGTCATAGAAGCCATAATATTACACCAGCCACAAGGAGACAGCAGGAGACAGAGGTTTTTCCCTTGGTTACTGCTTTCTTGGCTGTCTGATAACCTACACTCAATCTCTTTCACGTACTCACACATCCTTATCTCATTCTTCTGACAGGTTTCAACCCATCCTAATACTCTAACCAAGTTCTGGGGAGGCTGGGAGAAATACCTTCAACAAGAGTGCCTTTAGGGGCTCGAACCTGTCCCCCTCCCTCCCATCTTGCCTTCATTGTCCAGGGAGCATTGGCTCCTGCTCCACCCTGGAGAATGAGAGGCATTCTCTGTGAGCACTGAATCCTCAGTGATACTTGTAGTCTGGACACACCAGCTAAGGGCTCTCTGCCTGAGTCCCCTCAAGGTTGGATGCAGATGTGAGCACACCCAGGAGTCTGCACTTGCCAACCTCTCTCTCTGAAACCTTGTCTGTCCAAGGTTATCCTGAACCTCTTGGCCCCATTTCCCCATAGACAAGCAACTTGACCCCTGAGCACCTCCCCTTATTTACTGTGTCCATGTTCCTGGAGAGAGAATAGACCTGGTGGATAGCAACCTATCCTATAGGAGGTGAGTTTGATTCTCCAGCTGTGATAGAAGGACACTAGGCCGTGGCAGGAGCCCCACATGCTGTCTCAGAGTCTGGTTCCATAAAGAGAAAGTCCCCTAGGAATTGTTCCCTGAGCCAGACCCTCCAGGAATAGCAGCTCTGCTCTTACCTGGAGTGGCCCTGCTCTGGACCACAGATATGAGCAGCACCATCAGTAATGCTGTCAGAGCCACTGTCCAGGGGCCCCCTGAAACCTGCAGGATCATCATGGAGTTGGAAAAGGTTGGCAGAATGAAGAGAGCTGCAGTCAGGAAAACAAGAACTCATTAAAGGGAGCTCCTGTCTGAAATATTAGAGACCATGAACCCAAGCAGTCTTCTGTGACCCTAGGATTGGACAGACTCTGAGAAAAGAACCAATGGGCACTGAGCTTTGTATGAGTCATTGCTCACTGGGCAGAAAGTTAGTATTAAAGATCTGACAATATAGAGCCAGTGATGCTGTTACGAGGACAGATGGAGAACACTGACACTCATTTTAACCAGTCAGAGTCATGAGTTTTGGGGAGATGATGTGTTTTCTTTGCTCTGAAGGTGATCTCAGATATTCTGCTGGCCCACCTACAGGGATTATCATTTCCCCAATTCTGCCACACCTCACACACCCACAGGACATGGCCTGGTGTGGAAGAAATGCTATCTCAATGTGTAAAAGGTCATTCAGTGGCATGATTTAGAGAGATTAGAGTATCCATCCCAGAACTGAAAATGAGGCCTGGAGTCTGTTTTGCCTTTGTTCAAGGCCGTGCTTCAGATTAGTGCACATTCATATTTTCTTCCTCCCACATGTCTGTGAGTCCTGAGATGTGCGGGGGATACTGGCTCCTTCCATAGGACTGTCATCAGGGTCAGCAGGGCTCAGTCTAGGGGCCTTACACCTGGGAGCATGGACACACCACCTACACTACCATGGAAGTATGCAGCTTGAAGGACACTGCCTGTCTTGGACTTCAGTTCTTTGTCTTCAGTATGGGGATGATATGACCTGCCTTTACAGCAGGGCTCTTAAGGTCAAATTAGATCAACGGATCTGTAATTGCTTTGGAAAAATGGGACTAAAAATTATACAGTGAATGAGGAAGAAATGAAAAAATGTCATAAAAGACCCTACATTTTCCAAAACATCTGATTCTGTGGTGTTTATACTGAATAGTTTCATAAACTTTCAAAGAATATTACTCCTTAATTTAAAGACCTATAAATGTGATCCTGTACGACCTCCTAATCTAATAAAGAAAATGTAAAAGTGGCATCATTTGTTTATATAAATGTTAAAATGTAAATAGAAGACTAGCATGTAAAATTCAAGAGAAGAAAATAATTATGCAGTAGAAGGGGCCAGTATAGGATTGCGGGGAAAAAGCTCACGTTCCCTGCCATAGTCACCAAGACAGCATGGTACTGGTATAAAAATAGGCACATAGACAAAGGGAACAGAATAGAGAACCCAGGGATAAACCCAAATACTTACAGCCAACTGATCTTCGACAAAGCGAACAAAAACATATGGTGGGGAAAGACACCCTTTTCAACAAATGGTGCTGGGATAATTGGCTATCCACATGTAGGAGAATGAAACCGGGTCCTCATCTCTCACCTTATACAAAAATCAACTCAAGATGGATTAAGGACTTAAACCTGAGACCTGAGACTATAAAAGCTCTAGAAGATCACATTGGAAAAACCCTTCTAGACATTGGCTTAGGCAGGGATTTCATGGCCAAGAACCCAAAAGCAAATTCAATAAAAACAAAGATAAATAGTTGAGACTTAATTAAACTAAAGAGCTTTTGCATGGCAAAAGGAACCATCAGCAGAATAAACAGACAACCCACAGAGTAGTCACAATCTATACATCTGACAAAGGACTAATATCCAGAATCTACAATGAACACAGGCAAATCAGTAAGAAAAAACAAACAACCCCATCAAAAAGTGGGCTAAGGACATGCATAGACAATTCTCAAAAGAAGATATACAAATGGCCAAGAAACATAAGAAAATGCTCAACATCACTAATGATCAGGGAAATGCAAATCAAAACCACAATGTGATACCACCTTACTCCTGCAAGAATGGCCATGATAAAAAAATAAAAAAACAGTAGATATTGGTGTGGATGTGGTGATCAGGGAACTCTTCTACCCTGCTGGTGGGAATGTAAACTAGTACAGCCACTGTGGAAAACAGTGAGGAGATTCCTTAAAGAACTAAAAGTGGAACTATAATTTGATCCAACAATCCCACTACTGGGCATCTACCCAGAGGAAAATAAGTCATTATATGAAAAAGATATTTGCACATACGTGTTTATAGCAGCACAATTCACAATCACAAATCATGGAACCAACCCAAATGCCCATCAATCAACGAGTGGGTAAAGAAACTGTGATATATATATGATGGAATACTACTCAGCCGTAAAAAGGAATGAGTTAATGGCATTTGCAGCGACCTGGATGAGATTGGAGACCATTATTCTAAGTGAACTAACTCAGGAATGGAAAACTAAACATATATTCTCACTGATATGTGGGAGCTAAGCTAAGAGGATGAAAAGGCATAAGAATGATACAATGGACTTTGGGGACCTGAGAGGAAAGGTGGGAGGGGGCAAGGGATACTGCTCAGGTGATAGGTGCACCAAAATCTCACAAATCATCACTAAAGAACTTACTCATGTAACCAAATACTACCTGTACCACTATAACCTACGGGGGAAAAAAGCAACATAACCATGAACCAACTAATAAAAAACAACCTTGCCTTCAGTCTGCATCCTACCCTAGAGACACTCTCTCTGTGTCCTCACACTTGGAGCTAAGCTTCTGACTTTTGTCTCCAGTACACCCCTGAGGATCCTCTCATCACGGCCATCAGAAACCTCTGTAGAAGGTCAAATCCAGTGGGTTCTTGTCAGTGCCTCTGACTTGAGTTACTGATAATATTTGCACCATAATCCACTTCTTTCTAATGAGCTACTCTGTCCTTATTTTTCTCCTATTTACTGAATCCTCCTTATCATCCTTTGAAATCTCCTCTTAATTATTATGTTCTCTCATCATACCCTGAGATCCCTGCATTTCTGATTTTTGGCACTCTTCCTGGAAAAGCTCATCTAACCTGCACCTATGCTTGATGACTCTCAGTTCTCTGGCTTAAACTCCTCTACTGAGACCACCCATCATACAAAAATGTTTACATATTATTTTTCCTTAGATAACTTTTAGATATTCTAAGTGCAATAGCCCCACACTGAACTCAGTCTCTTCTCTCAGTCAGGCTGTCTTCTCTCATTACCCTTTTTAATGAATGGAATCAAGATGTTTGCATTGGGTTGGGGAGATGTTGGTCAAAGGATACATCCATTTCATTTCATTTAGGATACATTTCAAAAGATACATTTCATTTAGATTGGAGGAATAATTTTAAGAGTTTTATTGTATAACATGGACTATAGTTGCTAACAATGTATTGTTGAAAATTGCTAAAAGGGTGGATTTTAAGTGTTCTCACCACAAAAAATAAGTATGTGAGGTGAGCCATAAGTTCTTTAGCTTGATGTAGCCGGTCCATGATGTACATACATTTCAAAACAACATATTATACATGATAAATATAAATAATTTTTGTCAATCAAAATAATTTAGAAAAGTGACACACACTTACACACACACACACAAAAGAGATGATTGCATTGGCCAGTCTAGGAATAAGAGTTATCTGGGAGTTTTCTAAGTCGGATGCCACCGACATCACTCACCAATAATCCCTTTAATGTCAATCAAATTAAGTCCTCTTCTTCCATCATTTTACTCCTATGCCCATTTCCTCACTCTTTGTTCAGGCACTATTAGTCTTGCCTCTTGAACCAACTTCTTTCACTCATGCTGCCCACTGTTGCCGTAGTGATCTTCCTAAATTGCAAATGCGCCATCACTCTCCTGCTTAAAATCCTTCAATGATTCCTTATGACTTCCAGGACAGAGTAGCCACTCCTGAGCTTTGCATGTAACATCTGTCATGATCCAGCCCCTGCCTGTCTATTTTTCCTTTTTTCTTGCTGCTGTTCCACATCCAAAGCTGGCTCCATTCATACTGAAGCAGCTGAAGTTCTTCAGATATGTCATTGCCACACTGGGCCCACACTTTTGAACCTGCTTCCTCCTGTGTGAGAAGTGGCTTCTGCCCTGTTTTCGGACTGCCTACATTGAAGCCATCTGTTCCCCAGGAAGCCTTCCCTGATGCCTTGACAGCAGCATCTTGTGCCTGCCCCATATCTGCACTTATCCATCTGGGCCTGCTGTTGTCTTGTCACTTGTGTTCTCTTCTGTGAACTGTAAACATCAGGAGGACAAGACCTATGTCTTACTTTTATTTGAATATTTAGCATCTAACAATGTTCGACATATAGTAGGCTTTTGATACTATTTTTTTACTATGACATTGTAGTATATGTTAATATCCAGTAGGACATAGGATATATTCTCTCTGTTTTCAATTTTTCATTGTTTACACACATTTATAATTCTATCTATAAGGATTTACAATTATTTACATGAAATGAATGAAATAAATAGAGAATGTTAGATATTAAGAGACAGTGTGGAAAGCCAGGCTGGGACTAGGGATGCACTTACCTTAGGTGCAAAATTTAGGAGGATACCAAAAGAACTCAGTAATAAAAGTCAATCATATTTTAATGAAATATCTTAAGAAATCTAAATTAATGGAAAATATATAATGAACAAAATGTCAAAAGAGAACTATTCAAAGAAAATGGAGAAGCAGAGAGGCAGAAGAATTAGTAGAATATACTGGCACATAAGCCAAGGAGGTAAAGATTTCCAGGAAGGAGGAAGTAGAGTGGAGTCAGAAGTTCAACAGAAGTCATTTCAGAAATCTTACCTTGGTTTTGAAATCCTTTCAGAGAGCAGTTTTACATAATGTGAGCAATTATTTCTCCTTCATCCCCATCATTCCAGAATTGAGCTTCTTCTCTGGCTTCAGAAATGTGGCCCTTCCCCTTGTCAGGATATGTTGGCGACATGATGCATGCGGATGCCCTCAAAGTCAGCTGGGGTTTGGGGGTGAAATTAATTGACTTTAGGGAACTCCTTGAATGCTAAGTTCTGTTCACCTGGAGGACCAGAGAGGGCACAGAGATGACCACCTAGCTTCTGCCTGGGACCTAAACAGGGCAGAGAAATAGGAGGATCAGGTATAAAGGGAGCAGGGAAGATGGGTCTGGGCTTACAGTACTGAACCCAGGGATGACAGTAACTGTGTGTGTCTCGAGGCAGGTGACAAAATATGTGAAAGGAAGAGGACTTAGGAGAGATCTGAATTCCAGCTGTTTTACAAGCTATATCTCAGCTTTCTTTCTCAATTCATGTGCTCTCTACCCCAAAGGCTGATGGAATTGCTGACCCTTCAAGTTCTCTTCTCATCTGCACCCCTTCCCTCCTGCTGCACACTGTTCAGCGACATCACACACTTCTCCAGCCTCCTCTCTTCCTAGTCTTACCCCTTCCCAGTTCCCATAACTGAACTGTCCTGTTGAGGAGTTCTTAGCAGCCCTCTGTGACCACAAGTGCAAGTTGCACTCCCTTCTGAGACAAAGTCCCCCATTTATTCCCTCCTGAGGGCGTGTCCCTTCCCCTGACCCTCATGGACTCTCCCAGGTGCACCCCCTGTGGATTTGCTCCTGGGCCTGAGTTTCCCCTACTTCCCTGATGGTGTCTGGAGGGCAAGGGGTATCTGTCTATCTACTGAGTGTCATAAACTGCCCAACTCAGCACACCCACCCTCTACCTCTTCCTAAGTGTAGTGACACGGTGAGGGAGGTAATGGGGTGGGGTCTGGAATCAGACACCAGGAGGAAAGGGGTGGTGGCTCTCTTTGCCTCTCACTCTGTGTGTATTTCTCTCGGGTACCAGGAGGATTTCCTAAAGATTTCTTTCTCCTGACTGTTTTCTGGACCCGTCCTGGTCTCCAAGCTCCCCTCCTGATTCTCTGCAGTGCCCAGGTGTCCAACAGTTGAGCCTGGAGCCAGGCCAACTTGTCAGCTTCCTGTATGAGGATCAGACTGGACGACTTCAACCTGCTTAGCCCGTCTTCTGAGGCCTCACCCTAGTAGTTGGCAAGTAAGTCTATTTGCTCCTCTGGTCTGCCTGGCCCACACTTTTGTGAGAAAGTGCCCTAGAACCTGTACGCTCTAAACTGTGAAACCCTGTTCCTTCTTTTGGCCACAACACACCTACGCACTGCCCAAAGTTCAGTCACTTCTAGCCCAGAGTTTGGGCTTAGAGTGCATCCTTCTCTGCAAGTTGTGTTAGCCTGTACCTTGGGCAAGTTACTTAAATTTTTTGAGCCTCAGTTTCTACATCTTAGGATGGACAGTAAATAGAATTGGCACAAACAAGTGAGAAAGTGATGGCACAGTGTTTGTTGCACTGTAAGCACTTGATAAATGGCAGCTATTGTGATTACTGCTCTCATCGTCATTGGTTTCAACTTTCATCAACAGATCTCCAACCCTGTTGACGCCCCTGCTTCAGTCAGTCACTTGAACCTCTCACTCCATGACCAGGTGGCACCTTGTGGCTATGGCCATGAAGGGCCAGTCTGTCACCCTCATTGTTGACTGCAAGATGTGAGTCACCCGGCCTCTCCCCTGAAGAACTAGTCCAGTGTTGGACACCTGTGGGGTGATAATTGTTGGTGCCTGTATCCCAGATGAAGAAAGTCTTTGAGGTTACCACAAAAATCAGAGAAAGGAGTGACTTCTGGTCCCTTATTTTGTGCCCACTCCTCTTCTGGCCCCAGTATGCAATGTTCCTATTTCCTAAGCCTTCATTTTTTTTCTTGTGAATTTTGATTTGCATTTCCTATCTTCAGGACTGCTGATCTCTGCAGAATAACTAGATGTCCACTTATGTGGCAGGACTGTCCACAGCCACTTATTCTATTCTTCAGTCTTCATCTCTCCATCTATCCATCCCTTGAACCTATCTCTCTCCTCATCCACCCCATCCATCCACTCATTCACCAGTCCACCTACGCACACATCCACCACCCACTCCCGCAACCATTTACCCACCTATGCATCACAAACTTACCCATCTACTCATGCATGAAGGCTTATATCCACTCACCTGTCCATCCTCCCCCTGCTTAATGACTCTCCCCTTCTTTACACACATCTATTCGACTATGCTTTTGTTCATCTGTCCTCTTCAACTTATCCATCCATCTATTCACTCACCCACCCACTCACACACCCCATCTACCCATGCATACAAGGATGCATGCATCTGTTCAGCCACCCATCTATCCATTATCCTTCCTGGAACTCAACCACTCTCTCCTTCAATACACTCATGCACCCATCTCCTCACCCACTCACTTCACATCCAACCGTTCACTCAACCATGTATTCAATTCCACCCATCTATCTATTCACTCATCTGATTCCATCTACTCTGTACCTCCCGCTCATCTACCCACTAAGCCTTGCATGCATAATTCCCTCTGCAGGAGTCCCATTGTACCTGTTTTGTGCCTTTCTTTTCACTCTGGGTCATGGTAGCCATATTGTTGAAGGTTCACTTCCCAGATCCTCTTTTCTTGGCTGCTTCCTGTCTGTACAGCCACTTCCTGTTTGTCCAGTTTGTTTTGTGGCCATCTTGGCCATGTTTAATTTTCCTTGGCCCTGGCATCACTCTTGCATCCAAGTGTTTGTCATTTTATTTTGTGTCCCTTAGTTGTTCTCATATCTTCCAGTATTCTCTGTCAGTTGGACTGCTTCCTGTCTACTCTGCTACATCTTCTGCCTGCCTTGCAGTTATGGCTGCCTTTTCTACCCTGCTGCTGCATCCCACACCTCCTGCTCTTGGCACCCGTGAGCTTCTGCTGCCTTTCCTTTATGCTGCTGTCTGGGTCTTTGGGGTTGATGTGGGATCTGGGAGAATTTTGAAACGGATCATTGCTGTCAGGATGAAGGTGGAGAGGGGCATTCTGAAGATCTTTGTTTTGGGGAGTTGGGGTGGTGGTGAATGTTTCACCTTCTCCCCACCCTTATCTTGGCTATGGCCTGGATTTGGGAACAGGCATCTGAATGGAGGTGTGCAAGGGAGGGAACTGGTTGGCTTGGAGTGTACATGAGGGCCAGAAGAAGGGCAAAGCATCCTGCTGGGAGAGGAACTGTGGGGTGCATTGTAGGGGGCTGCTCTGGGGCTTGGATAACTGAGCCCAAGAACTGTATGTTTTGCAAAAGGCAGTTATGAGGCCTGAGTTTGGAATATCTCTGGGAAATGCTCTCCAAATTTACTTGGAGTATGGATACTTAACCTGTGCAGGGTTTTTACATTTTTGAACTCCTTCAAATTCTAAATAAAATTTTGTGCATAAGGGCATATACCTTTTCTTTTTTGGAGAAAGACTGAAAGACTCAAAGTCCTCTTTCTGAAAGAGGCTCTTCAGGATTTGGAGAGGTTGTGTTTGCTGAGGTGGGACTGAGAACTGGGGTGCAGGGAACCCTGAGATCTCCTTGGCAGGCATGAGAGTTTTGTGAACAGAAGTATTTAGAGGAAGCCTGTGGGGCTTGTGGGTAGGGCTGGTCTGGTCTCCAGAGGACCCAAAATCGAGGTTGGAGTTGAGATGGGGGCAGGCCTGGTGTCCTGGCTGCTCATGGGCCCCACTGGGGTTACATGTGTGTCTCCCTTAGGCTGCCCATGGGCCCCGGGGGCTGAAGGGAGAGAAGAGAGAGCCTGCAGTGCTGGAACCTGTAAGTCATGCTGGTCACAGGGCTGAGGTGGTGGAAAGAGGAGAAGCAAGTGGGGTTTAGTGTGCTGGCCCTGTCACCTGTGAGTTTTAACCTTTGACTCCACAGGGTATGCTCGTGGAGGGGCCCCCTGGTTTAGAAGGCCCTGTGGTGAGTCTAGCAGTGACCTGGTGGCCATTGTTTTCTTAGAGATCCCTCCTATGTGTTCATCTGTGCCTTCCCCACATATGCTCAGGCCTCCTCCTCAGAACTCCGGAGGGTCCTTCCAATAAAAGTTTTTTAAAAAATCATTTCGAAAAATTAATTCAATAGTTTTTGGGGAGCAGGTGGTGTTTGGTTATATGGATAAGTTCTTTAGTGGTGATTTCTGAGGTTTTGGTGCACCCATCACCTGAGGAATGTACACTGTATCCAGTGTGTAGTCTTTTATCCCTTACCCAGCTCCTACTCATACCTGGAAGTCCTCAAAGTCCATTATATAATTCTTATGCCTTTGTGTCTTCATAGCTTAGCTCCCACTTATAAGTGAGAACATACAATATTTGGTTTTCCATTCTTGAGTTACTTCCCTTAAAATAATGGTTTCTAATTCCCCCTAGGTTGCTGCAAATGTTATTTCATTCTTTCTTATGGCTGAGTAGTATTCTAAGGTATATAGATCACATATATATCATATGTGATCTATATATAGATCATATATATATATATGTGATCTATATATATATAGATCACATATATATATATCACATATATATATATCACATTTTCTTCATTCACCCATTAACTGATGGGCATTTGGGGTGGTTCCATATTTTTGCAATTGTGAATCATGGTGCTGTAAACATGTGTGTGCAAGTGTCTTTTTCATACAATGGCTTTTTTCCTCCAGTAGTGGGATTGCTGGATCAAATGGTAGATCTATTTCTAGTTCTTTAAGGCATCGCTGTACTGTTTTCCATAGGTTGTACTAGTTTAATTTCCCACCAGTAGCATAGAAGTGTTCTCTTTTCATCACACCTACCCCAACGTCTATTTTTTTTTTATTTTTAAATTATGACCATTGTTACAGGAGTAAGTTGGTATCACATAGTGGTTTTGATTTGCATTTCCCTGATAATTAGTGATGTAGAGCATTTTTTCATATGTTTGTCAACCATTTGTATATTTTCTTTTGAGAATTGTCTGTTCCTCTGCTTAGCCCACTTTTTGATGGGAGTATTTGTTTATTTCTTGCTGATTTGTTTGAGTTTTTTGTAGATTCTGGATATTAGTCCTTTTTTGTATGTATAGCTTGCGAATATTTTCTCCCACTCTGTGGGCTGTTTACTCTGATGATTATTTCTTTTCCTTTGAAGAAACTTTTTAGTTTAATTAGGTCCCATCTATTTATCTTGTTTCTTTTGCATTTGCTTTTGGGTTCTTGGTCATGAACTCTTTGCCTATGCCAATGTCTAGAAGAGTTTTTCCAATGTTCTAGAATTTTTATGGTTTCAGGTCTTAGATTTAAGTCTTTGATCTACCTTGAGTTGATTTTTGTATAAGGTGAGAGATGAGGATCCAGTTTAATTCTTCTGCATGTGGACTGCCAATTTCCCCAGTACCATCTGTTGAATACGCTGTCCTTTCCCCACTTTATGTTTTTGTTTGATCAGTTGGCTGTAAGTATTTGGTTTTATTTCTGGGACTTCTATTCTGTTCAATTTGTCTATGTGCCTGTTTTTATACCATTCCCATGCTGTTTTGGTGACTATAGCCTTGCAGTATATTTTGAAGTCAGGTAATGTGATGCTCCAGATTTATTCGTTTTGCTTAATCTTACTTTGGCTATGTGGGCTCTTTTGTAGTTCCATATGAATTTTAGGATTGTTTTTTTCTAGTTCTGTAAAGAATGATGATGGCATTTTGATGGGGATTGCATTGAATTTGTAGATTGCTTTTGGCAGTATGGTCATTTTCACAATGTTGATTCTACCCTTCCATGAGCATGGGACGTGGTTCTACTTGTTAGTGTCATCTATAATTTCTTTCGGCAGTGTTTTTAATTTTCCTCGTACAGGTGTTTAACCTCTATTGCGGGAAGTCAGGGACCCTGAATGGAGGGACCGGCTGAAGCCACAGTGGAATAACATAAATTGTGAAGATTTCATGGACATTTATCACTTCCCCAATCAATACTCTTATAACTTCCTATGCCTGTCTTTACTTTAATCTCTTAATCCTGTCATCTTTGTAAGCTGAAGATGTATGTCACCTCAGGACCCTGTGATGATTGCGTTAACTGCATAAATTGTTTGTAAAGCATGTGTGTTTGAACAATATGAAAACTGGGCACCTTGAAAAGAACAGGATAACAGCAATTTTCAGGGAACAAGGGAGATAACCATAAGGTCTGACTGCCTGCAGGGCCAGGCAGAACAGAGTCATATTTCTCTTCTTGCAAAAGCAAATAGGAGAAATATCGCTGAATTCTTTTGTCAGCAAGGAATAGCCCTGGGAAAAGAATGCATTCCCGGGGGAGGTCTCTAAAATGGCCACTCTGGGAGTGTCTGAATTACATGGTTGAAGATAAGGGATGAAATATGCCCTGGTCTCCTGCAGTGCCCTCAGGCTTGCTAGGATTAGGAAATTCCAGCCTGGCAAATTCTAGTCATACTGGTTCTCTGCTCTCGAACCCTGTTTCCTGTTAAGATGTTTATCAATGACAATGTGTGCCCAGCGGGATGTGGAACCTCATCAGTGATTCTAGTTTTGCCCTCTGCCTTGTGATCTTTTACTGCCCTCTGAAGCATGTGATCCCTGTGACCCATTCCCTATTCATAGACCCCCACCCCTTTTGAAATCCGTAATAAAAACTTGCTGGTTTTGCGGCTCAGGTGGGCATCATGGAACCTGCTGACATGTGATATCACCCCCGGAGACCCAGCTGTAAATTTCTCTCTTTTGTACTCTTTCTCTTTATTTCTCAGACTGGCCCACACTTAGGGAAAATAGAAAAGAACATACTTTGAAATATTGGGGGCTGGTTCCCCCAGTAAACCTCCTTGGTTAGGTATATTCCTAAGTATTTTATTTTTTTGCAGCTACTATAAAAGGGGTTGAGTTCTTGATTTAATTCTCAGCTTGGTCACTGTTAGTATATGGCAGTGCTACAGATTTGTGTACATTGATTTTGTATCCTGAAACTTTACTGAATTCATTTATCAGATCTAGGAGCTTTTTGGATAAGTATTTATGGTTTTCTAGGTATACAGTCATATCATTGGTGAACAGTGACAGTTTGACTTCCTATTTACTGATTTGTCTGATTGCTCTGGCTAGGATTTCCAGTACTATGTTGAATAGAAGTGGTGAGAGTGGGCATCCTTATCTTGTTCCAGTTCTCAGGGGGTATGCTTTGAACTTTTCCCCGTTCAGTATAAGGTCGGCTGTGGGTTTGTCATAGATGGTTTTTATTACCTTAAGTTATGATCTTTGTATGTCAAGTTTGCTGAGGGTTTTAATAAAAAAGCGATGATGGATTTTGTCAAATGCTTTTTCTGCATCTATTGAGATCATATGATTTTTGTTTTCAAATCTGTTTATGTGATCTATCACATTTATTGACTTGTGTGTATTAAATCATCCTTGCATCCCTGGCATGAAACCCAATTTATCACCATGTATGATCTTTTTGATATGCTGTTGGATTATGTTAGCTTGTATTTTGTTGAGGATTTTTGCATCTATTTTCATCAGAGATATTGGTCTGTAGTTTTCTTTTTTATTATGTCCTTTCCTGGTTTTGGTATTAGGGCGATCCTGGCTTCATAGAATAATTTAGGGAGGATTCTCTCCTTCTCTGTTTTGGAATAGTTTCAGTAGGATTGGTACCAATTCTCTTCTTTGAATGTCTGATTGAATTCAGCTGTGAGTCCATGTGAATCTGTGATTTTTTATCGTTGGCAGTTTTTTAAAAATTACCATTTCAATCTTTCTGCTTTTTATTGGTCTGTTCACAGTTTCTATTTCTTCCTGATTTATTCTAGGAGGGTTGTATATTTCCAGGAATCTGTCTTCTCTAGGTTTTCTAGTTTGTGCCTGTGAATGTGTTCATATTAGCCTTGAATGATATTTTATATTTCTGTAATATCAGTGGCATTTTCTTCCATTTTGTTTCTAATTGAGGTTATTTGGATCCTCTCTTTTCTTGGTTAATCTCACTAATGGTCTATCAATTTTATGTATCGTTTCAAAGAATCAGCTTCATGTTTCATTTATCTTTTGTATTTTTTTGTTTCAATTTCATTTACTTCTGCTCTCTTTGTTATTTCTTTTCTTCTGCTGGGTTTGGGTTTGGTTTGTTCTTGTTTCTCTAGTTCCTTGAGGTGTGACTTTACATTTTGTATTTGTGCTCTTTCAGACTTTTTGATATAGGCATTTAATGCTATGAACTTTCCTCTTAGGACTGTTTTTACTGTGTCCGAGTGGTTTTCACAAGTTGTGTCACTATTATCATTCAGTTCAGAGAATTTTGCATCTTGATTTCACTGTTGACCCAAAGATCATTCAGGAGCAAATTATTTAATTTCCATGTATTTGTATAGTTTTGAAGGTTTCTTTTGGAGTTAATTTCCAATTTTATTCCACTGTGGTCTGAGAGGGGACTTGATATAATTTTGATTACCTTAAATTTGTTGAGGCTTGTTTTGTGGCCTATTATGTGGTCTATCTTGGAGGATGTTTCATGTGCTGATGAGAAGAATGTATATTCTACAGTTGTTGAGTAGAATGTTCTGTAAATATCTGTTAAGTTTATTTCTTCTAGTGTAACTTAAGTCCATTGTCTCATTGTTGACTTTCTGTCTTGATGACTTTCTAGTACTGTCAGTGGAGTATTGAAGTCCCCACTATTATTGTGTTGCTGTCTATCTCATTTCTCATGTCTAGTAATAATTGTTTTATAAATTTGGAAGCTCCCATGTTAGGTGCATATATGTTTAGGATTGTGATATTTTCCTGTTGGAGTTATCCTTTTATCATTGTATAATGTCCCTCTTTGTCTTTTTTAACTGTTGTTGCTTTAAAATCTGTTTTGACTGATATAAGAATAGCTACTCCTGCTTGCTTTTGTTTTCCATTTGTATGGAATATCTTTTTCCACTCCTTTACCTTAAGTTTTTGTGAGTCCTTACACATTAGATGACTCTTGAAGACTGAAGATACTTGGTTGCTGAATTTTTATCCTTCCTGCCATTCTGTATCTTTTAAGTGGAGAGTGTTAATATTGAGATGTGAAGTACTGTTCTATTTCTCATGCTAGTTGTTGCCTGAATTCCTTATTTTTTTCCTTTGCATTACTGTTTTATAGGCCCTGTGAGATTTATGCTTTAAGGAGGTTCTATTTTGGTGTATTTTGGAGTTTTGTTTGAAGACTTAGAACTCCTTTTAGCATTTTGTGTAGTGCTGGATTGGTAGCGGTGAAGTCTCTCAGCATTTGTTTGTCTGAAAAAGACTTTATCTCTCCTTCATTTATGACGCTTAGTTTTGCTGGATACAAAATTCTTGCCTGGAAATTATTTTGTTTGAGGAGGCTAAAGATAAGACCCCAGTCTTTTCTGGCTTATAGGCTGCTGTTAATCTGATAGGTTTTCCTTTATAGGTTACCTGATGCTTTTGCCTCACAGCTCTTAAGATTCTTTCCTTTGTCCTGACTTTAGATAACCTGATGACTATGTGCCTGGGCGATAATCTTTCTGTGATAAATTTCCCAGGTGGTCTTTGAGCTTCTTGTATTTGGTTGTGTAGATCTCTAGCGAGGCCAGGGAAGTTTTCCTTGATTATTCCCTCAAATATGTTTTCCAAACTTTTAGATTTTTGTTCTTCCTCAAGAATGCCAATCATTCTTAGGTCATTTAACATAATCCCAAATTTCTTGGAGGCTTTGTTTATTTATTAAAGTTCTTTTTTCTTTGTCTTTGTCTGACTGGGTTAATTCGAAAGGCTTGTTGTTTGAGCTATGAAGTTCTTTCTTCTACTTGTTGGATCCTATTGTTGAAACTTTCCAGTGCATTTTGTATTTCTCTAAGTGTGTCTTTCATTTCCAGAAGTTGGATTGTTTCTTCTTTATGATATCTACGTCCCTGGGGCATTTTTAATCCATATCCTGTGTTTTTAAAAAATTTATTTAAGTTGTTTTTCACCTTTCTCTGGTATCTTTTTGAGTAGCTTAAAATCAACCTTCTGAATTCTCTATCTAGCAATTCAGAGATTTCTTCTTAGTTTGGATCTATTGCTGGGGTCCAGTGTGGAGGTGGTAGGGGAGTGAAGTAGACTCTGTGAGAATCCTTGGTTGTAGATAGACTTAGTGTGGTGGCTTTCTCAAATGCTGGTTATGCTAGCAGTGCAGTTGTCATGTGAACAGACCGAAGACCACTGGTTAGTCAAGATTTTTCAGCCAGTGGAATTAGCTGTTTTCTCCTTTCTTAGAGCAGTTATTCTGTCGTGAATTGTTGTAATGTCCTGAGTTGGTTGGCCTCCAGCCAGGATGTGGTGCTTTCAAGAGGGCACCAGCTACAATAGTAGAAGGTGGATATAAGCTTGCCCTAAGTTGGCCAAGATAAATATTCAGTTTCTCAGGCAATGAGTGGTGTCATAAAGCTCCCAAGAGTTTACGTCTTTTGTGATTGGCTACCAGGTGGGTAGAGAAATGCCCTCAGGTGTGGACAGGGTTAGGCAGGTCTGAGCTCAGACTCTCCTCGGGCGGGGGGCTTGCGGCAGCCACTGTGAGGGATGGGGTGGAGGGTTTTTCTCCAGCCAATGGAATTATGTTCCAGAGGGCATTATGGCTGCCTCTGTCACCAGAGAAGTAGGGGAAACCTGGTAGCAATAGGCTTCACCCAGCTCCCATGCAGTTGGCGAGGCAGGTTTTGCTCCTGCTGTGCCACACTAACAGCATTGAATTTATCTCCCTGCAGCCTTCAGGATGGACTCAGACCTCACTCCAGGCTATAAGTTTCCTGCTGAGAAAGCAAGCACAGCTTTCAGGCCATGTGCCTCCCTGTCTGCCCACAATGTTGGCAGTAACTTCTGCTCTTTCTCCAGCAGTTCCGTTCGTCCCCAGATTCTGCTCCAGAGGATTTGTGCCCAGTCAGAATTATAACAAATTTCAGTTGGACGCTCCTTTCACACTGTGACCCCTTCCAAATTTTGCCGTCTGCCTTCCCCCAGGGCCCTTGTGAGATATAGTCAGGGGTGGCTTCCCTGGGCTTGAGCTAAAGACTGGGCGTGCCTACAAGGCTCTTCTCACTGCTGCATCTACCATATATATATATATTTTTTTTCTTTTTGTTGCGACGGAGTCTCACTCTGTCACCCAGGCTGGAGTGCAGTGGCGCGATCTCGGTTCACTGCAGGCTCCGCCTTCCGGGTTTATGCCATTCTCCTGCCTCAGCCTTCCTAGTAGCTGGCACTACAGGCGCCCGCCACCACGCCTGGCTAATTGTTTTGTATTTTTAGTAGAGACGGGGTTTCATCGTGTTAGCCAGGATGGTCTCAATCTCCTGACCTTGTAATCCGCCCGCCTCGGCCTCCCAAAGTGCCGGGATTACAGGTGTGAGCGGCAGCGCCCGGCGTACTTTTGTATTTCATGCTAAATCTGTTTCAGGTCTAGGTAAAGTTAAATCCTTTTCCTGTAATCTGGATTTTCGAGTTCCCCAGTGGGGACATGGGTCCGGAGGCAGGTTTTTCCCCTCTCACGCTTTGGGAACGCACAGTTTTTCACTTGTCTGGTGGAGTTTGCAGTGGCCCCTCCCTTCTTTAAAAGGATCTGTGAATTCTTTCGATTTTCTGGGTATTCTCCTGCAGTGGTTCCTTTCTTGAGGGATCTGTGAAGTGAGTTCCTCAAGATATTTCTTGTCAGGTGAACAGTCTGTGGTCTCTGCAGGGCCTGTACCACCCCTGGGCACTGTATGCCCCACAGAGTGGGCCTCTCCTGTGCAGGGCCTGGGAAGAGGTTGATTATAATCTGGTGTCTGAGGCCTGGCAGCACCACACTCTCTTCAGTGAGTCAGGCTCAAGTCTGAGCACATCTGCAGAGCTTATGTTTGCTGTGTTGCTCATGGAAGGCAGGGAATCCAAAATTGTTTTCTTAGAGATGGACTCTCACTATGTTTCCTAGGCTGCTTTCAAACTCCTGGCCTCAAGTGATCCTCCTGTCTCGGCCTCTCAAATCACTGAGATTACAGGTATGGGCCACTGTGCCCAGCCTATTATCGATTTTCTCCCATTTCATTCAGTCCTCAACCCAATGTACTCTCTCTTTTTCTTTCCCTCATCTCTGATGCTCCTCTCAGGGTGGCAACTAATGACTTTTATACAACTCAAGCCAGTGGTCACTGTTCTGTTTCTGTCTTATGTGTGTCATTAGTGTGTTTGAGATGCCCCCTCTCCTCTTTCCTGGAAGTTTTCTCCTGTCTCTTGTCTTTTATGAACCCACTTCCTCTCTGTTTTCCTACCAATTTCTAGTCCTCTGCTTTTCAGCCTCTTTCTTCATGTCTGTGTTTGTCTGGATGCAGGAGCACACACTCAGATCCCTGCTATCCTGACTTTGTGTACTTTTCTTGAGTGACCTGACCCAAAATTAGAACTTCACCCACCATGAGCCTCCTTCCAGTTTATGTCACTAACCTAATGTAGCATGACACTCATCCATTTATTTCACTGCCTTCAAATCAACTGTATGTTTTCCCCTAGAAGTTTAAATTCAGTATGTCTCAAACAGAAAATTTTACCTTCTCTCAATCACTTAATTATCACCTTTGCAGGCACGGATGCCACAATTCTCCACGTTGCGTGGTTATTCTCGACTTCTTCATATCCCTACTTCTGGCATGTGATTTAGTGATTCCTGTGGCCTCTCATGTCATTACTGCCATCAAATCCATCTGCTGTCCTCCTCACCCCATGTTCCTGCCCTGGCCTACGCCTTCATTACTTCCCACCAGAGGGCTTAAAAGTGCTACTGGTCTTGCCTTGAGTCCCGCCTCCTCCAGCCCATCCTTCCTACAGGTGCCCCATCCAAACACAAATCTGACCGTGTTACTCTCCTGCTTAAGATACTTCACAACTTCCTATGTCCTGTGGGATAAAATGCAAACACTTGCCATCAGCACACAAGGCAGGTTACAGTGCTGCCTGGCCCACATCTCCCCTGGCTTCAGTCACACTGAAGAACTGCAGTTCTCCTTGCAACTTCATGCCTCTCTGCTCCTGAGCCTGCTTCTCCTGCTGGAAATGCCATTTCCCCTTTCTCTGTTTTGCTATCTGCAGGTGAACACTGTCCCTAGGAACCTTTCCTAAATCGTATTTTAATTTTGCTCCTGAGTAGCTCTTGTGTATACCTTGTGATACTCAGTGGTGATCAAACCACACATGTAGCAATCATCTTTTCTTTGTCTGTTTTATTCTTGAATTTCAAGTAGATTAAGGACAAAGTTCCCATCTTTAGAGTTTCATCCTTATTACCTAGAGAGTGAAAGTTCACAAAAAGCATTTATTAACTGAATGAAAATTAACATTTGAAGTGTGGAATTTGCTTCAAAATGTGCCAACCTTTAGTTTTCAGATTTTGTAAATATAATAAATACAAAGTAACCTAAGCTGAACCAATTACATCTGTGTAGCCCAGTCTATACACCGTGTATTTTTCTTTTTCCTTTGGGATTCATTTCTGTAGGTGAGTAATCCTCTAGACCCTAAACTCAGTGGGGGACCCTCACCATCCGTGTGCGGCACTGAACCTGCTGTCACACTATGCATCTAAGTAGAGGACTGGTTCTCCCCATGCTGGGCTGGGAGGGGAAATCCTCACTTAGGGACCACCAACCATGCAGTGTCATTTGGCTTCACTTCCTCTTCCAGGCCGAACCCTAAACTCTCTGTAATTCACTGTAATAATAATTCACTTTTTGTTATCAACCAGTTGCTGCTTCTTATGTATCAGGTAAAGCTAAGATACTATCCCATAGGTCTTTCAAATGCCAACAACTTGTATTTCCAGGTGAAACTACACTTGAAAACTACACTCCACAAGACAATTTTGTGAATGTTATGTGAATGATAATACTTTTAAATTTACTCTGCCTAAAATGTAAGTGTTGTGGATAAAATTATAGAAGGTATCATTTTTCTTCTAAAAGTAAGAATGTAACTTGAAGTCTATAAATGTCACTAAGACTCTGGAGGTATTTTCATGTCCTTCACGATTTTGTTCCACTCTGAAATATTTATTCCATCCTTCCACTTCCCTGCCTTGCTTTATGGCTATATCAGTAATTTTTAATGTATTGTCCTGTAGGGTTTCTGAGATCCTACAGGAATGAGGTAGGAGGACTACTCAATATTGTTTCTACCAGGAGTTGTGTGACTTGGACAAGTTACTTTACCTCTGGGGTCAGTTCCCTACTATGGAAAATAAGTTCTTCTACATGGGGGTGTGAAGATTCAATGAGTAAGTTTAGCACATAGTAAGTGCCCAATAAATATTATCTTACTGTATTCAGCATTACCATTATCATAGACGGATGTTAAGTCTTCAGGGACAAGGGAAACAACCTGTATCGTCCATGGGTCATTTCTGTCTTTGTTTCTTCTCACTCCTTTTCTTTTCTTTCATTTGCATTTCTCATTTTCTGTGTTATTCCTTCATGTTCCCAATAACCTTCCTGTTACCTGTTTGCTTCCTGCATTCTGTGTAGCATCCTACGTATTCACCCATTCTCCATCTTCTCCTTCATGCAGCAGACCATGTGTCAACATATGCGGAGTTTGTGCAGACGCACAGACCCTCTGGGGAGTATATGTTTGAATTTGATGAGGAGGAGCAGTTCTACGTGAACCTGGATGAGAAGGAGATGGTCTGGCCTCTACCAGAGTTTATTCACACCTTTGACTTTGGTGCTCAGAGGGGTATTGCTGGCATCGTCATGGCAAGGAAGCACTTGAACACCCGGATCAATGGTCCAAACAGACTTGGGCCACAAATGGCACTGCCTATAGCTGCCTGTTCCTCTCAGAGGGGTATTGCTGGCATCGTCATGGCAAGGAAGCACTTGAACACCCGGATCAATGGTCCAAACAGACTTGGGCCACAAATGGCACTGCCTATAGCTGCCTGTTCCTCTAGAGTCCAGCTGGAGGGATGGGAGGGCCTCTCTGCCACACATAGAACTAGAGGCCATGATGCCCACTCATGAATGAGCCCCTTCCCTGAGAGCGAGAAATCTTGGGTCCACACAGCTGGGTTCTTAGGACAGCAGAGGAGGAGGCATTTTCTTCTTACTCAAGAGAAAGGCTGGGCTGAGGGGGCCAGGTCAGGAGCACGAGAAGCTGTGACCCTGTCCAGGAGCCCTAGGGGAGCAGGAGGATGGGCCTGGGAGAGGTGGCCCCTAATCTGGTGAATATAGGACTTGGGGTGGTGGAACCTTTAAGAATCAGCCAATGGCAGTAGGCTCCTTGGGTTCTATCCCCTTTTGGAGCCCCCACCGAGGTAAGCGTCTTTCCCAAGGAGCCTGTGGATCTGGGCCAGCCCAACACCCTCGTCTGCCATGTTGACAAGTTCTTCCCACCAGTGCTGAACATCACGTGGCTGCGCAATGGGGAGCCAGTCATTGAGGGTATTGCAGAGACCATCTTCCTGCCCAGCAAGAAACTCAGATTACACAGGTTCCACTATCTGACCCTCGTTCCCATGGCCGAGGACACCTGTGACCTCCAGGGGGAGCACTGGGGCCTGCACCAGCCTCTCCTCAGGCACTGGGGTATGGAGCGCCCTCCCTCTGCCCTCACGGCCTTGGCACCACCTTTATTTCCTGGGCCCATCGCCCCTCAGCACCTGCCTTCCTCAATCCCATGTTTTATGGTCACTTTATCCAAATTTCACCATCTCATGGTTTCGAATACCCAACACCTCCCACATCCAAGGCCAGCCCCTGCTCTCTGTACCTTATAACTCTGTCTTCCCTTGGTGCCCCAGAGGTCCATGAAATAATCCAGGTGCCTGAGACCATGGAGATGCTGGTCTGTGCCCTCGGCCTGCTGGTGGGCCTGGCGGGGGTCCTTAATGGCACCATTGTCTCAAAGACCAAGCGATCTGACAGCATCCCCGGGTCCAGGGGCTCCTATGAGTCATCCTATAGGTGTATTAGGGACAGAGTGGAAAAGACGAGGTAACAAGTTAGGGGTGAAGAGTGGGAAAGAGAAACACTTCACCAGGGGCTCTTTGAGCATTGATGTTTTACTGCCATTGGGCTGGATAAAAACATTAACAAATGTAATGAGAAATGACATTCATTGAGTTGCTTACTATGTTCTAGGCACTATTCTAAGTGCTTCTCATGTGTTCACTTATTTACATCTGGAGGTTGGTTCTTATTTATTTCATGTTACAGAGCAGGAATCAGACACCGGGAGAGGTGAAGACCACACAGCTTCAAAGTGCAAAGCTTGGATTTAAACCCAGGCTTTGGGCCTGCAGTGGCTGCAGTCTTGTCCAGTATTTAGATTATTTCATCTGCAGTCACTATCTGTCTTCCTACATTTTACACAGCCTTAATTTTCTTCTGCCCGCAGAGTGATGTTCAGAACTTCCAATGCTATGTTAAACATTTCCAGCAACGAAGGACATCCTATCTTTTGCACAATCTCAAAGGCAATCCACCTCATTTCTTTGAAATATATATGCTATAGATTTTTGGTTCACTACCTTTAACATGTCATGAAATTGATTAAATTCTGTCTATGTCTTGAGCTGAATTCAGTTTAAATTAATATGAATTTTGCGGAGTCCACTAATGTGTTAACCACATTATATATTTTCTGACACTGAAGAATCATTGCATTCCTAGAATAAATCTAAAATTGGTCAAAACGTATTGTTTTTATAATGTACTGTTGGATTCAGTGACATGGCTAAAATTAGTCCACAATCCTGTTCTCCTGTACTATTCTTAGCTGGCTCTGGAAATATAAATGAACCAACCTCATAAAATGATCTCAAAAATTCTGTTCCATTCTATGTTCTAGAATCACACGTGTAAGAGGCATGATCTGCTCCTGGAAATGTGGGAGGACGCCCTCATCTGCAATAAGATCAGGACAGGGCCCTTTGGAAGGCGATTCTTTGCTTCCCATGACAATTTCTTTGATATTCTCTACTCTATTTTAGTTTTCTATTTCTTCCTGTAGTTTTGACCTTTATATCTTTCTAGAAACGTATCCGTTTTATCTAAATTTTCAAATTTATATGTATAGAGTTGGTCGTAAGATTTTGCATTTTAAAATGTGTATAAATGTCATTTACCCTTTTCGTTCTGAATCTCCTGTATTTTCCTTAGGAGTCTTGCCAGAGGTCTCATTAAAGTTTTCATTGCCTCAAAATTTGATTTTATCTTCTCTATTTTTATATTTCATTGAATTCAGCTTTTGTCCTTATTATTTACATGTATTTTCTTTTTGCTGTTTTTCTGCTTTTCCATCCTCTTAATTCACATAATTAGCTCATTTGTTTACAGTCATTTTACTCTAACAAAATTGTTTAACAGTCTGACATTCTATGCAGCATTTTGAATGAACTTATTTCATCTTTCTATAAAGACTAAACATCTATTATGTTTTCAGTTATTTCCTCTTCCTCCACTATTTCCCTGACTTTCTAGACGTCTAATTATTAAGATGTCAGATGTCTGTTTCTATCCTTCATTTCTCTTCACTTGTCCTTTACATTTTCTATTGTTTACTCGATCATATTGTCCTTGGGACAGTTTCTCAGTTTGGCTTTTTGTTTATTAATTACACTTCAGTTGCAAAAGTCCTATTTCTTGTCTCATTTATTATGTTTCTTATTCCAATCTTTATCAAAGCTCAATATTTGTGCTTGATTCAGTGGCTTCTTGCTTTTGCTTCAAATTCCCAAATTCTCCTTTACTTCTCTATTTAAGCCCTTTCTATTGTGAACTAGGGGACATTTGGAAGAAACACACAAACCAATAGAATGTACGTTGAATGGTTATCACCGCAAGCACCCATGTAACTAGTACCCGGGTGAAGAAATAGACTGTTGCCAGCATCCCTGTGCCCCTCCTTAGGCCAGGAGGTAGTGTGTAAGCTTTTCAGGAGCCAAAGGCTGCTGATATCCATAATGCCTAGCATTGCTCCTGGTACACAGTAGGTCCTCCATAAATATCTCTTGTAGAAGTATTTTATTATTTATTTAGTGTGTACTTCTTAAATGTTTTCCACCTTCAAGTATTCCCACTTATTTGAAGTTAGTTGCAGCCATATGATTTACATTGGAAAATGAAATGCGAGAAGTGTGTTCTTTCTAGGAGGGATCATTAAAAGCCAGTGAATAAATTCTTAGGTTCCCTTCATTCTGCTGGGGAGGTTCTGGGAGCAGATGTGCAGGAGAAAGACTGTCAGCCTGGCTTCCTGAGTACGATGATGAGCAGAGCTTCCTGCATGACTTACTTTGGACGTGTAACATGAGCCAAACCTGGATATCTGGGTATTTGTTAGTTTAGCACAGCTGATCCTATTCTTACTGTGTAAAAGAAATTGAAGAGAAGGTGCTCAATGAGACTTCAGAGAAGCTGAGAGACAAAAGAACTAGGAGGATGTTTCATCCCATAAGCCAAGTGCACAGTAATTTCAGGGACAGTTTACAATGCAACATGCTCAAAAGGCATCAACTATGGTAAGTGTTCACTGGCCTGGTAGCAAGTGGTTATTAAAACCCCTTTCAAGAGCATCTTCACACCCGATGCCCAACTCCCACCTCCTTCCACTTTCACCATCCCCTGGCTCGGCCTCACTGCTACTTGACAAATGGGGACAAAGAGAGGGTGAGATGATTTCTTCTTAGGGTACCCCTTGATAACCATCTGAGGCAGCGTTGTCTGTTGGGTGGACCACCTTCTCGTTAGGGAACTGTGAGGGGTAGAAAATGAAGGGACCAGGTGGAAAGGGATGGAGGATACAACACTCAGCTGGGAGTCCTAAGCCCGCCGGGTTTTTTCTTCTGCAGGTATCAATTTTTCTGAGTCAGAGGTTGAGTCACCCACTTCACATCTCCTTTAAAGCTCCAGTTCCAACTTTCCTTTGAATCTCTGCTCTTCAACTCCAATGACTGATGTACCTCAAGACTCCTCTACCTCCTGGCTGCCTTTGATCCTGCTGCACATAGCACTCAGCAAAGGGCCTGACTCTTAGAAAACACTCTATCAATATTGAAAATTTGAAGTCTAGTGACAAGGTGGTCCCAGTTTGGATGGTCTCTCAGCTCTTGTCTCCTCTGGGACCTGTCTCTGCACTGCATCCTTCCTTAGAAATCCCAGAGTTTCATAAACACCTGCATATGTCAGAGTGAGACACATCTGATACCTTCTTTCTGTGACTCCAGGGACATTCCTCATCTCCTGACACCCTCAGTTCCCTAGGAGCACATATCCTGTTCCTGTAATGTGGGTGCAGATACCTCAGCTTCTGATCCTGACAAGTGTTAGTCCAGAGATTGTTCACTCCACTCGGGGTACTGCCCTAACCTGTAACATGAGTACAGGAGACAAGCAGGAAAGAGAATGACTCTGACTGGATATGGTTTGTAATTTGTAATGTTAACTGCTCAGTGACTCTGAGGGTAGGATTTATGTGCTCTGGGTCTGAGGATTTCATAATGATCTCGATTTGAAGACTTTCTGCTATTCTCATGACCTCCTTCCATCGTTGAATCCCTGGATTGAAATCATATTAATTTTATGCTGCATAGGTTTCTCACAAGTTTCCTGTGAAGCCAAAAGGGAAAATAAGACAGATAAAGGGTCCTTATTTACTATATACTGTCTTCCTTAGCTTATTATGTGACAGCTGAAATTACTACGCAAAAACAAGTCAGCAGCATTTTCCTTTATAGTTTTTGAGGAAATGAGGCTGATCAGGGATAAAGATGTTTTAAAAAGAAAAAATGATTGTGTCCTATTCCCTAGGTTAAGAAGATTATGAGAAACATGATTGGTTGTCCTTGTGTGTGGCTTCTCTTTCCTGACTCCCTGACTCAGTCCAGCCTCTCTGCAGACTCCAGCTGTATTTACTTATATCTGTGCCAGTGACGCCCAAGTCTGTGCCTTCAGCCCCACCTCTCCTGAAATTGGAGGAAGCCGGTCCCCCGATGGAAGATATTATTTGCAAGGGGAGATGGGCAAGAGGAGCACAGTAGCTTTCGGGAATTGACCAGGGACAGGTGCCCAGGGACACACAAGGCCCAGAAGATGCTTGTAAGAAGCCAGGGAGACTGAAGGCATCAACTGGATGTATAAGAGAGCTGCTGTGCACTGATTGTGTGTATCAGGAGTGAAGAATCCATCCTCTACACGAAAAAGAAAGCTTACAACAAACATGTCCTCTACCTTGACCAAAAGGTGTCAATATGAGACGCAAAACACATAACAATGTTGGATTGTTAAGAAAAAAAAAAAGACCAGTGTTTGAAAAAGAGTGCTACATGTATTGCTTTGCTCTTTCCCCAGTGGGGAGTCATTTCTGTCTGTATGAAAATTAAGACAGGAGGCCTAGGCTGGTGGATGAATGCAGACTTAGACGACAAATGACGTCTATTGGATGCATTCAAAAGTCCAAGCCGTATTTGGTTAAGGAGTATTTGTGATGGCACACAAAGAAAATGGTTAAAGTGTATTAGATTATATTTATGATTTTAAATTCTGATGTTCATTTAACTTCTTAATGGTAATGATAAAACATGCTCTCAGTAAGGTATATGTTGAATTAGTGCTGTGGGAATATGGGTCCTATCAGGCAGATTTGCAGTCTGCTCACCATTGAATAGTTAAGAATAGTGGTCTGAGACATAAATGGATGAGGGCACTAAACTTGATTTGGGGGCAGCTCACTGAAATACAGTCAATTCAGAAGAGTGTCATGTGTAACAGGCCCCATTATACAATAGTTAACATATCCCCATTTTCATGGTTCTCTTCTTTCCTATGTTTAAACCAAAATGAACTTCTTTATTAACTCCTACTGTCTACTAAAACCCTCAGAGAAAAGTGATGAGAGATGATTTGGTGCATATTTTTAAAGGAAAACAAACAGTCATGTTGGGTTTTGATTATTTGTGGTGCTAAGAAGAAGGGAACATGGTTGGAGGCCCAGTGAGAGAAACAGTGCTTTGAATCAAAGAGCAGAATGATAGAAACTGACTTCAGAGCAACTTCTTGGCAGCAGTATCCAATTTGGAAGTTGAAGGTCTGTCCTGGAGCCAGATGCTAACGAAACACAGCAAATGCTTTTCCTAAGGCACAATAGTCTTTTCAGTGAGCTCAGGAACCCTGTGGGGGTAAAAGACAAGTTATCCCAGGTTGCCAGCCTCCTTCCTGTAAGTCCAGGAGAGAAAAATTATGGTGAGAGGATGCGTCTCAGGCTGATAAATAACAGAGTTGATCTCTGCTTCCTTCAGCAATGGAGCCAAGCAATGCTCTTTCCCCACTTGCCTGAAGGCTGACATTGAAAGAGGGGTTCATGCCTGAGATTCCCTTCCTGGAGGAGCCTCAGTGTTACAATGCACAGAAAGGACTCATATCCTCCTGCAACCCACCCCACAAGGAAATCAAAGCAGGAATATTACCTGTTTATGCAGATCCTCGTTGAACTGAAATGAAAGACGAAAGGTTATATAATCAGCCATTGAAACCACCTCAGATAATTAGAGAAACATTTCCATCCCACCAAATTCCATTGCCCATCACTCAATGGACGCTCCGCAGGAGCCTGAGTACTTGGGACCTCATGCATCTGGCTGCATTAAGATCCCAGCCTGGGATCCCTCTCTCGCTATAGGTCATGTTTGTTCCCCGATTATCTGATATCAGTGGCCTCTAGAGCTTTCTGACATTTCTTTTCTGTCAAACCCCTCATCGTGGAATAAGTGTGAATATGCCAGGGGAAGGTAAGTCCCGCTCACCCTGCAGGCTTTCTCACCTTTCTTGCTCCTCCTGTGCATGAAGATGCCCACTCCACAGATGATGAGCCCCAGCACGAAGCCCCCAGCTCCCGTCAATGTCTTACTCCGGGCAGAATCAGACTGTGCCTCTGGGAAGGACAGACCCAGGTTTAGTGTCACCTCCACCAGCTGCATCCCTACTCATGTCCTGTCTGAGATTCTGGAGCCTGATGCAGCATATCGGGATGAGGACAGTGCAGCGGAAAAAGCTTGCTAAGAGGAAATTCAGAAAGAGCCACCCTCATATCTGGAACAGGGGTGTGACCTCAACAAGGTGGCAAATGCTGATTCTGGAAGTTGCCTCTCAAAATGCCTGAGAAGAGGCTAAAATGCTGAAGGAAGAGAACTGTTCCTATGTGTGAGGTCAGTTCCTAAGTGTGAGGGTTTCGAGACCAGTCAGTGTCCCTAGATTCTCTGACAAGGGGGAGAACTATGAATCTTCAGGAACCCCTAAGCCAAGGTCAGGAAGTCTCCATTTCCCTGGCTTCAAACTATGCTCAGGAGCTGGTATAGAAGAAAGATGGGGTTTGGACATGGCCCCAGGGTATAGATGCAGAAGATAAGATGAGTGGACCCCAGAGCCAGAGAGTCCCCTGCTCTTCAGAGGTGGGGTCTAGAGGGTCATCAGAGACTCACTCCACTCCACGGTGACAGGACTATCCATGCTGGTGTGCTCCACTTGGCAGGTGTAGACATCTCCCTGCTGGGGGGTCATTTCCAGCATCACCAGGATCTGGAAGGTCCAGTCTCCATTACGGATCAGGTTGGTGGACACGACCCCAGCTGTTTCCTCCTGTCCATTCAGGAACCATCGGACTTGAATGCTGCCTGGGTAGAAATCCGTCACGTGGCAGACAAGCAGGTTGTGGTGCTGCAAGGGCCCCTTCTTGGAGGGGGAAACATTCACCCTAGGCTGGACTAGGAGCGTGGAAGAAAAATAATGAAATAGAATTTGAGATTGTCCTTCTTTCCTTCCTTCCTTCCTTCCTTCCTTCCTTCCTTTTTTTTGAGACATAATCTCGCTCTTTCTTTCTTTCATTCTTTCTTTTTGTTGAGATGGAGTGTCACTCTGTTGCCAAGTCTGGAATGCAGTGGCGCAATATTGGCTCACTGCAACCTCCACCTCCGGGCTTCAACCAA
Source organism: Homo sapiens (assembly GCF_000001405.40). Taxonomy (NCBI): domain Eukaryota; kingdom Metazoa; phylum Chordata; class Mammalia; order Primates; family Hominidae; genus Homo; species Homo sapiens. Next base: position 4,389,379 of record NT_167244.2, on the reverse strand, counting down.
TTCTCCTTCCTCAGCCTCCCGAATAGCTGGGATTATAGGTGCCTGCCACTTCACCTGGCTAATTTTTGTATTATTAGTAGAGACAAGGTTTCTCCATGTTGGTCAGCCTGGTTCTCTAGGAGCACTTGACCAACGCCTGACCTCAAGTGATCCACCCGCTCGGCCTCTCAAAGGGCTGGGATTACGGGCCTGAGCCACTGCATCTGCCCAGATTATTATTTCTTAGGCATGTTCACTATGTAATTGATTCCTAGATGTTGAAAATAGGAATAATGTGATTAGGCTAGTGGGTAAGGGTAGCATTGAAAAGATAGAAATAGACCTTCAAGTAGAGCATGCATGATCTTGAATAAAATAATAGTTAGTAAGTATATAGCGGAATGGCAGGGAGACAGAGTTTGCACTCTGTAGCACATTTAGGAGAAATTTTAACCAAAAGTAATTTGGGCAAAGAATATTTGATCAACTGTGAAATTACCTACCTTTTCAAAGTTCTATCTTGATACAAAGGAAGCAAAATTTACTCAAATAATATCTTGAAATTAAGATATACAGACAATGGCATTATGGTGGCCTGTGAATCTAATAACTTCATGAAAATACAAAGAAAATGAAGAGAGCTTTACATGTCTTATTCTGTAAAAAACCTATGTATTTTTTTACCTCACCTACAAAAACTCAAAATCTTCATATTTACAGAATATCCTGAGCTCCTACATGCTTGAGTAGTAGAAATCCCGTCCTTTTTCAAGTTCCTCCTCTGTGCTGCGTCTTCAGGTCCCATGAAGGTCTCACAGATGACCAGGTGTTGCCTCCCTCTGCATCTTTGCATTTGTGCCCCAGCTTGTCCTGTTGTTCTCAGGTGAATTTCCACACTGCCACTGGCAACTTTTCTTTTGGATCTCTGCCACCAGTACCTTTTTCCTCCTCAGAAAGCAGAAAAGGCCAGGCATGGTGGTCATGCCTATAATCTTAGCACTTTGGGAGGTTGAGGCATGAGGATCACTTGAGCCCAGGGTTTTGAGACCGGCCTGGGCAACATAGTGAGAACCCATCTCTAAAAAGAAAAATAAATTAGCCAGACATGGTGGTACGTGTATCTGTAGTTCTAGCTACATGGGAGGCTGAGGCAGGAGGATCACTTGAGCCCAGGAGGTTGAGGCTGCAGTGAGCCATGATGGTGCCACAGCACTCCAGCCTGGGAGACAAAGTGAGAACCTGTCTCAAAAACAAACACAAACACAAAACAAAAAACAAACACAGAAAAGGGTCAAGTGCTCCTAGAGAACAGTTCATTCAGGGAGATCCACTAGAGAACAGCTCTTTCAGAGGACTACCCTAGAGAACAGCTCATCAAGAGGAATGTCTCAAATTAGTCTTCTAGGTCCCTAATCACTCAGTTCTTTCCTTTCTACTTCCTGGAGAACACAAATACCCTAACATGGCGCTGGGCCAGGTAAAAGTACAGTCTTGAACTGACACACAACCCTTACTCCCTATTGTATTTTTGCCTTGTTTTCAGACTGATCCACATTGTCAGCCTCTTCCCTCAATGTGAGTTTATTTCAGGGGCACCTGTGTCTCACTACTTCATTACCTCGGTTAACTCAATGTCCATTACACTATTCAACTTATGTCTAAATCTCAGTTGTGAATTACCTACAATTTCTTCCCCATAGAGCTTCTGGGAACCATGAAATCAGGGGGAATACTTGGGTATCTGTTTTAAGGTCCCAGAACATTCCACGAGAGGCATCTTGCTCAATATTCTTTGACAGGAGCAGGTCAGCCTGGAGCCACATCAGTGACCTCCAGGGTGCGCTGGAGTTAAGGCCTGATACCCAATGGCCTCATTTCTGACCCAGTTCAAATACATTTCACCAAGGCAAGGATTCCTGTTTGTTCTAGTTGCCTTCTCTAATGCCCAGAAAACATTTGCTCAATTACTTCTAGATTTGGGTGGACATCCACCCTGGAATTGTCACTACTTCTTTCCTCCCCCTTCCACCTCTCCCTTGCCTCTGTGTTTTCCCTGTTCTAACTCATGCCTTGATTGCAATTTCCCTGACAAATAATAGCAGTTTCCTACCTCATCTCCCTGCCTCTGGTCCCTCCTCTAGCCAGCACCCTTAGTAATCTTCTGAAGACACATCTCCAACCTTCTCTTTTTCATTTTTCAAAAATCTTCAGTGTTCTGACAATACTTATCTGGCTACATGGGAACCTCTAGGGAGCTGATTACAAGCAGAGATCCCCAGACCTCCCCACCCAGGGAATCTGAGTCTGGGGGCACTGAGTCTGGAGATCTGTGCATCACAGAGGATCTCCAGAAGAGTCTTCAGAGGAGTGAGGTTGGGGACCTGCGGGCCTGGAGGAGAAACCCACACTCCTTAGGCTGGCATCAGGGCTGTCTGCAATCTGGCAGTTGATTACTGTGAAAGAAAATGCTGCCATGTCACTGATTGGTGCCTCTACAAAGTCTTAGTAACAGTTTTTGCCAATTGCGTTATTTTTATTTGAACACCTCTCTCAACCAATTACCTCAGCAACTTTCCTAAGCTCATGTCACTCACCTCATCCCCACCCAGTGTGTCCACCTTCTCACTCATAGCAGGTGAACTTCCTTTCACTTTCCAGGAACAAGAAAATCAAAGGTGTGATCTCCCCAGCTTCCTCCTCCTCCTCCCTTCATTTTTTTCCTCTTTCTAGAAAAAAGGTCCAGGGCTCAATCCCACATCCTGATACTACTCCCTCAAGTCCCTCAGGTTGGTGCACCAGGCTCCCCACCCCACAAGTTCACAGGAGGAAGCCAAAGCTCCAAGGCCTTCCTGTCCCATCCTTGAGAAATCCTCTTACTGCACACACCTCACCTCTCTCCATCCCTTTACACCCAGACTTCCTGAAGGAAAAAGACGAATGAACTGAGACACTGCCCTGTGACAGCCGTGGGGAACCCAAGACAAGTAAAATCCATCTCAGCCCCGAGGAGGATGCGCCACACTCAGCCTCATGCACCCCCTCCCATTCCAGCTCCTGCCGCTGCGGCCAACCTGCTCTCCCCAGGTCTCCCTGGTTTCCAAACCCACTTTCCATCTTCTGTTTTCTGACCTTCCCAAGTCACTGGCACCGCTGTCCACTGTGCTGCTGAGGTCACCTCCCCTCAGCTTCCAAGACTCTTCTCTGCGGGCCTCTCCTCACACTGCACTTGGGTTTTTTTGGTCTCTTTCACAGGCTTTTCTGTCTTGGCCAAATCACAACTGTCCAGTTCCCAGGATCCGGTCCTTTGCTCTTCCCCCTGGGTCCCCTCTCCCTGGATGGTCTCATGTATCTCAGTCTCCTCCCCGGCTGCAGACCCTTCTGTCTACCTGCCCATCAGACCACCCATCTGCCCCTCAAGCACCTCAAACCCAGCTACCTCCCTGTAGGTTTCTTCTCTGTGTGGCCTGCTGTGCCATCTCCACCTCCATCTCCACACCATACCCTTGTGCGCTGTCCTGTGGCTTCCTTTTTTCACCCCACATGCAGTCAGCTGCCAGGCCTGATGAAGTCCCGGGGGTCTCTCTGCTCTCGTCCTCCTCACTCCATGCTCAGCCCAGTCCAGGTCCCCGCGCTCGCTCCCCTGACAAGCTCCAGATGGGCTCCCCCCATGAATCCCCAACCCAAAGTCCCCTTTCCGCCCGGCACTAAGGTCCCTTAGGCCAACCCGGCTGCTCCTGCGCCCTGGGCACGGGCCCGCGGGGCTGCCCTGGGACCGCCGGCCCAAAGCCCTCACTCACCTCGGCGCTGCAGGGTCATGGGCCCGCCCAGCTCGTAGTTGTGTCTGCACATCCTGTCCGGCACTGCCCGCTTCTCCTCCAGGATGTCCTTCTGGCTGTTCCAGTACTCCTCATCAGGCCGCCCCAGCTCCGTCACCGCCCGGAACTCCCCCACGTCGCTGTCGAAGCGCACGAACTCCTCCCGGTTGTAGATGTATCTCTCCAGGAAGCGCTGTGTCCCATTAAACGCGTAGCATTCCTGCCGTCCCTGGAAAAGGTAATTCTCTGCGGGGAGGGGGCGGACATGAGCGGAGGCGCCACTCTCATCTAATCCTCTTTCTCCCTCTCTCTCTCAATATTAACGATTCTTCCCAAATCTTCCCACCCAGGGCTGGATTTTAAAATAGGAGTTTTCCTAGTACCGAGTTCTGTGGTCCTAAGCGGGTCGCAGAGCCTCTCCAGGCCTGTTTTCTCACCACGCAGAGAGAGAATTTACTGAAAAGAATGAGCTCAGGGGCACTGAGTGATCACTAGGGAGGGGCGAGCACTGAGGGGAAGGCAGTCCCTTCTGCTGGTGGCTGGAGGAGGCGGAGACGTTTCACGTGGGGTCACTGGGAGAAAAAACAGGGGCGGGAGGAGCTGGGGACGTGGAGGGCGGAGCTGCTCCCCCTACTTAACTCCCTGACTGACATTTCCATCCTGATGTCAGTCCTGGTTCAAATGCCACCTCCTCCAGGAAGCCCTCCCTTCCTTCTTTCTCTTTTCCATAGCTAAGCGCTCTCTCTTCTCGACCAGTTTCTTGAGAATTCCTCAACTTGCTCCTGTTGTTTTGCATGTAGGAGATGTAGAAATATATTTCTTAAAACTTTCTTCAACTTTGGTATAAGAAAGACTCTGTAGCCTGAAAGTTAATTTTCAAACATGGCTGCAGAAAGACTTGGTGTCAAAAGATGTGGAAAGTATTTTACACAATGAAAATCACCACAACAACCAGGGACCTGTGGGGGTAGAGTCCTTTGGGTTTAGAGGCATTGATGTAATTTTTTTTGGCAGTTTTTATGGTTTTATTTACACACAAAACGTGGACATGAACTTTCTACTCATTTTCTTAGCTGTGCACCCTGGTACTGGGGTTGGTGACTCTGATGGCCGGCTGGGTGACTCTTTCCATGATGACTTTGCAGTTCTGGAGGAAATTTTGTGAGCGATCTCAGCACAGTAAGATTTGTTGCACATCAGCAGCACTTTCAGCTCCTTGAGGCTGTGGACCAGAAACTTCTGGAAGCCACTGGGCAGCATGTTTTTTTTGTTGTTGTTGTTGCTCCCATAAGCAATGTTGGGCATCAAGATCTGGCCCTTGGACCTTCTACGAACCCTACTGTTAAGACCTCTGGGTTTCCGCCAGTTATGCTTAATTTTGACATTTCAGTCTGATTGGTGCCTCATGAACTTGTTGGTCCTCTTTTTGAGGATCTTATCCTTCATGAGGAGTCTGAGGGAGGCCATGATGTGGAGGAAGAGATGGCTGCCAGCTGCATAGGCAGCACCGAGGAAGACAGCATTGATGTAATTTTTACATGAACAATTTTGGCAGCCTTTCCCACATGCTGTTCTTCCTAGGGAGTGCCATGAGCAGTGTCTGGCAGGTGTGTGTCTACACAGAATTATCAGTGACACGGCACATGTTTGTTTCTGTTTGAGTATCTTCAGGCCTGCTCTGTTCTTGGGCACACTGGGGAAATTAAGGTGCTGTGATTGTTCTGCTCATCTGTTTCATGCTCCACAAATTAACTTCTCCAGTTTATTAACCTCACCCCCAGCAGAAGTTGCACAGCTGGTGGCAGAGGATAGTGGAGATGGGGTAGGGCTGGGCTCAAGGGCACCATGGAGTCCACCTTTAGTCTCCAGTGTCATTGCTAAGGCAAGATCCCAGGTCTTGACTCAGATATCCTGACCTGCCTCTTCTCCTGGTGCCTTGGGCCCCAGACCCTAAAATTCCAGGCCCAGAGCCCCCCAGCTCCTTGAGTCCAGATTCCTCCTCCTCTGCCATCCATCCGCCCCTGCCTGTTCAGTTGCCCCACTCTGAGTGTGGATTCTCCCATTTTCATTTGTTAGTCTTTGTTTCTCCTCCTCAATCACCAGTAAGAGAACGTTTTTCATTCAAGAATAAGAATTTTGAATTTTTTCTTTGCAACATTTAATTTTTTTAATTTACCCAGTCTTAGGTAATTTTTTAAGTACATTTAACTTTTGAAATGGAATTTTACCTGCCAAGTAGACATAAGCAATGAGGGGTTTTATGGTGTAATTTGAAACCTTCATTTTTTTTTGTATATAAGAAACTTTATCCTGTTTGTGGAACCCTTAGCAATTGAGTTGCCCAGAGCACGGTTTGAAACCACTGATCTGAATGAATTCGTCTCTTATTCAGAATAGGATATATTAAAAACCTCTAGCTCCCTATGGGTTGTCTCAGCCAAGCTTTTCTCCCCCAGCCTCTTTAAGCTATAGCCTGGCTCCTCAGCCCTTTGGTCTTGTGCCCTGTTTGAGGTTGGGGATGTGTGTGGAGTTGGGGGAGCATGCAGGGAATTGTGGAATCAGCCCTGCCCACTTTACCCACTCCCCTATGGCTCCAGCTCTCCCTCCAGCAAATTTTGATTGAACATTCATTCTACGCAGGGAGCTCCAGTAATCTACCCTCAGTCCCTGTCACATGGCTCCACTGCCTCATCTCATTCCCCCTACAAACCTCAACCCAGCCTTTGCCTGTCCTCCCTTTCACTGTCCAGCATCACATGCTCCCTTCTGCTCTCTGCTCCCCCACCTCTGGGTTTCCTTGGTGGCTCCCAACACTGTCCCTCATCCCACATGACAGCTCTGCCTATGGGATGGGGGCGCTGCATCCGTCACTTCCTCCTGACACTGTTCAGTGTCACCAGTGCTGCTCCAGCCTCCTCTCTCCCCAGCCTCACCCCTCTGCAGTTCCCAGGGCTGAGCCGTCCTGCTGGTTAGTTCTCAGCACCCTTCTGTGACTACAAGTTCAAGTTCTCCTCCCCTTCCTGGACAATGAACCCAAGGTAATAGATAAGAGGTTTTAGGGCTTGAGGGGCTGTATTCAGGAGATTCCAACCTTGCTACCCTGAAAGATGAGGAGGTGACATGATGTCAGTACCTTTTAGGTGTGTCCTAGGAGGGGTGTGGAGAGGTCTAGGAGGAAGGGTGTAAGCAGGAAAAGTGGAAGTCAGTGGAAAACTAAGGTACCTACTTTGCAGTCCTTCCTCTCAGAGTGTTGGTGTAAATTTGGACTAGAAATGTCCTGAGAGTACAATGGTTGAACTAGTTTACAGTCCCACCAACAGAGTAAAAGTGTTCCTATTTCTCCACATCCTCTCCAGCACCTGTTGTTTCCTGACTTTTTAATGATCGCCATTTTAACTGGTGTGAGATGGTATCTCAAGACATTGTGGCAATTCCTCAAGGATCTAGAACTAGAAATACCATTTGACCCAGCCATCCCATTACTGGGTATATACCCAAAGGATTATAAATCATGCTGCTATAAAGACACATGCACACATATGTTTATAGCGGCACTATTCACAATAGCAAAGACTTGGAACCAACCCAACTGTCCATCAGTGATAGACTGGATTAAGAAAATGCACACATATACACCATGGAATACTGTGCAGCCATAAAAAAGGATGAGTTCATGTCCTTTGTAGGGACATGGAGGAAGCTGGAAACCATCATTCACAGCAAACTATTGCAAGGACAGAAAACCAAAGACCACATGTTCTCACTCATAGGTGGGAACTGAACAATGAGAACACATGGACACAGGAAGGGGAACATCATACACCGGGGCCTGTTGTGGGGTGGGGGGAGGGGGGAGGGATAGCATTAGGAAATATACCTAATGTAAATGACGAGTTAATGGGTGCAGCACACCAACATGGCACATGTATACATATGTAACAAACCTGCACGTTGTGCACATGTACCCTAGAACTTAAAGTATATATATATATAAAAAGAAATATCCTGAGAGTATCCTGAGAGAAAAACAATGGATCATAGATGCCATAATATTACACCAGCCACAGGGAGGCAGCAGGAAGAAGAGATTTTTCACTTGGTTACTGCTTCCTTGGCTGTCTGATAACCTACACTCAATCCCTGTCATGCACCCACACAACCTCATCTCATTCTTCCTACAAGTCGCAACCCACTCTAGTACCCTAACCAAGTTCTGGGGAGGCTGGGAGAAGTACCTTTAATGAGAATGCCTTCAGGGGCTAAAACCTATCCCCCTCCCTCCCTTCTCTCCTTAATTGTCCAAGGGATGTGGGCTCCTGCTCCACCCTGGGGAATAAGAGGCATTCTTCGTGAGCACTGAATCCTCAGTGATCCTCAGAGCCTGGACACTCCAGCTTAGGGCTCTCTGCCTGAGTCCCCTCCAGGCTGGATGCAGACATGAACACGCCCAGGAGCCTGCACTTGCCAACTTCTCTCTCTGCAAACCTTGTCTGTCCAAGGTTATCCAGGACCTCTTGGTCCCATTTTCCCCAAAGACAAGCATACTGACCACTGGGCACCTCTCTCTGTTTACTGTACCCATGTCCTTGGAGAGAGAATAGGCCAGTAGGGTAGCAAGCTATCCTATAGGGGATGAACCTCTTTCTCTAGCTGGGAAGAGAGGACACTGCCTTAGGGCAGGAGCCCCCGCAGCCTGTCTCAGAATTTGATCCCTTAAAGATAACGTCCCCTAGGAATTGTTCCCTGAGCCAGACCCTCCAAGAATGGCAGTTCGGCTCTTACCTGGAGTGGCCCTGCCCTGGACCACAGATGTGAGCAGCACCATCAGTAACGCCGTCAGAGCCACTGTCCGGGGGGCCGCAGAAACCTGCAGAACCATCATGGAGCTGGAAAAGGATGGCAAAATGAAAAGAGCTGCAGTCAGGAAAAGAAGGACTCGCTAAAGGGAGCTCCTGTTTGAAATATTAGAGACCATGAACCCAAGTAGTCTTCTGTGACCCTGGGATTGGACAGAGTCTGAGAAAAGAACCAATGGACACTGAGCTTTGTATGAGTCATTGCTCACTAGGCAGAAAGTTAGTATGAAAGGTCTGAAAATATAAAGCCTGTGATGCACTTAAGATGACGGAGGAAAGACAGTGATACTCATTTTAACCAGTCAGATAAGTCATGATGTTTGGGGAGATTATGCGTTTTCTTTGCTCTGAAGGTGATCTCAAATATTCTGCTGGCCCATCTACAGGGATTATCATTTCCCCAATTCTGCCACACCTCACACACCCACAGGACATGGTCTGTTGTGGAAAAAGTGCTATCTTAGTGTGTAAAAGGTCATTCAGTGGCATGACTTAGAGGGATTAGAGTACCCATCTCAGAACTCAAATGAGGTCTGAGTCTGTCTGTCTTGCCTTTGTCCAAGGGTGTGTTTAAGATTAGCACCCATTCATATTTACTTTCTCCCAGAGGTCTGTGAGTCCTGCGATGTGCAGGAGTTACCAGGTTCTTCCACAGGACTGTCATCAGGGTCAGGAGGGCTCAGTCTAGGGACCTTACACTGGGAGCGTGGACACACCACCTACCCTACCATGTAAATATGCAGCTTTAACGACACTGCCTCTCTTGGACTTCGATTCCTTGTCTTCAATATGGGGATGATATAACCTGCCTTATAGCAAAGCTCTTAAGATCAAATGAGATCAATAGGTCTGAAATTGCTTTGGAAAAATAAAGTCCATAGAGAATATAAATTGACTGGTAAATAAGGAAGAAAGTGAAAAAAAATCATCAAAGACCCCACCTCCTTCAAAGCATCTGATTCTATTTTGTTTAGAGTGAATATTTTTACAAACTTTCAAAGAACATTACTTCTTACTTTAGACACTTATAAATGTGATCCTGTTGGACCACCAATTCTAATTTCAAAAAAAATCAAATTGGCATCATTTCTTTAAATCAATATTAAAATGTAAATAGAAGGCTAGCATGTAAAATGCAAGAGAAGAAAATAATTATGTAGTAGAAGGTGTCTAGTAGGATTAAGGGGCCAGGAGAGGATTGTGGAGAAAAACTCAGTTTTTTTAGTAACTGCCTGGGTGGGACTTTTCTCCTTGTCATTTACCTGCCATAGATAATTAGACAAATACTTCCTCGATGTCTCAGGTAATTTATTTTTACAGTAGACATTAATAATACCTCCCTCAGGTTTAATATGAGGTTTAAATGAGGTAATGCATGCAAAGCACTAATAACAGAATCTCTCATGTCCTAATCTGTTAGTAATTATTATTTATGCAAGGTAAGGCTACCACAAATAAGATAAAATATTAACGTAATATATGTACTTCATCATTACATTAAATAGTAAATGTTTTGTGACCTTCTCTATGAGTATCAAATAAATAGCTCAAAATTGAAATATTTAAAATGAGACTAGAAAAGTATTTCTTAAATATGGTAAAGAGAATATAAAATAAAAAATTAACATTACCTGTAACAGAAAAACATTAGAGAAACCCTTCTTAAAAACAAGATCAAAATATGGGCGCACATTGTTACCACAGGTAATGCTGTCCTGGGTATTCTTATATGAAAATGAAATAACAAGACTAGTAATTTAAAGATAAAAATGTTATTACACTGTTTAAATACCAGGAAAAATCAAATACTAAGAAATCTGAAAAATAAAAATTATCTAGAAATTTCACTAACAAAGGTAACCAGGAATAGATAAACAATTAAAGATCAACTTCATTCAAGTTAATTAAAACCTCTAAATAGAAATTATAACACTTCTGCAGAAATGATTAAATAAAAAGGAGGTATCTCAGGGAGGTGGACCTGAAAGAAAGATTAATTATATATTTTATTAGATAGCACATTCATTCTTAATTATCAGCAGAATATTTTTGTAAAATATTGACAACATAACATAAAACATGATTTAAAATATAGTGACCAAAAAACATCAAAGATCATCTGACTGTCTGGGATGGGGGTGGGGCTCGGGAGAAGGAACATAATGGAAAACATTTGCCGTCAGAAGAAGGTGTAACTTATCTTTTTACATCTCTTTCTCTAACTCTGAAAATGAACTGTGAACTGGAGCTCTCTTGACCACGCTGGTACCTAAAATTCTCCCATCTCTTCCCCAGCACCTTCCAGCGTCCTCTTTACCCAGCAACAGAGAATGTCAGCTCTATGATTTCTCTGATAGGTGAATCCCAGCCATGCTGATTCCTCTCCACCCATTTCCAGTGCTAGAGGCCCACAGTTTCAGTCTCATCTGCCTCCACTCGGCCTCAGTTCCTCATCACTGTTCCTGTGCTCACAGTCATCAATTATAGACCCCACAACATGCGCCCTGAAGACAGAATGTTCCATATCAGAGCTGTGATCTTGAGAGCCCTCTCCTTGGCTTTCCTGCTGAGTCTCCGAGGAGCTGGGGCCATCAAGGGTGAGTGCTCAGGAGGACGCAGGAGCGTCGGGGTGAGTGATTGCTGCTTCAGGGATCACAGATTTTAGGGGCTCATTGATCTATCTGGTCCTCATAGTCTATGTTCCCTCTGGCCCTCATAATAATAACAGCAATAACAGCCAGAATTTATGAGACTCCTGCATAGTTTCTTTCCCCATTTACATCTCACAGGAATCTTCAATGAAGATAATATTCCATTCATTTAGAAATTATTCCTTTTATTTAGAAATTATTTTGAAAAAACTGAAGCTCAAAAAGATGAATAAGTTTTCCAAGGTTACACAGCAGATCAACGAGCCAAGTTTGAAGTCCAGACCCAGCTCTGAGGGTCATACACTGCCTTCCCCAGATTCCTGCACACAGTGACCTACTATCAGGGCCCTCCTATCTCTCTGGGATCCCCAGCCTCTATCTTTTGTGGCTGCTTTACAGGAACTCCGAGCTATGGACTCTGCATTAGGAGACGAAGTGCAAAGAGTGTTTCTGTATCCTCCCTCTCTTCTAGGACCCTAGGGCTCTTCCTGGGTCTTTGTGGGTGGTCACAAGCTTTCCTCTCTCAAGACAGCAGGGTTGCATGGTCTTGATAGCCTTGTGATTCGGGTTCTGAGAGATTCAGGACTGCAAGGGAGGCCTAGACTTTTGATAGCTGCAAGGACTCAGCCAGAGATGGACCGTAGTGAATGCTCCTTTTTCCTGTAGCTGAAATCAGGGAGAATGACATCAAGCCTGTGCATGATGCTGTCATTCCAAAATCTAGTGATGGGGAAGGTTAGAATCCATAACGTACAAGATGCACACTGGCTTCAGACAGTTTTATTTAAGATGTGTAGAATAAAGAGGAGGTCAGGCTGGGTAGAACCAGAAGTATCTATTGCCCTGTTCGCGGTCACCTGAGTTATTTCTAATGTTATGTTATAATAAACACCACAATAGGCTTCTCTTCATAGATGCAAATACTTTTTAGTATTCTTGGTAGAAATTCCTAATGAGCTCAGCTGTCTCTTCAGGGCTTCCCTGCCCAGTCTCTTAACATTTAAACATGTCATTTACCTTAAAAACATAAGTGCAAACCAACTGATAAAAAACAACCTTGCCTTCAGTCTGCATCCTGTCCCAGAGACACTTTCTTTGTGTCCTCACACGTGGAGCTAAGCTTCTGACTTGTCTCTGGTACATCCCTGAGGATCCTCTCATCTTGGCCATCAGGAACCTCTACAGAAGGTCAAATTCAGTGGGTTCTTCTCAGTGCCTCTGACTTGAGTTACTAATAACATTTGCACTATAATCCACTTCTTTCTGATGAACTACCCTGTCCTTATTTTTCTCCTGTTTACCTGGATCCTCCTTATCATCTTTTAAACCACCTCTTAACTATCATGTTCTCTCATTATACCCTGAGATCTCGGCAATTCTGATTTTTGGCACTCTTCCTGGAAAATCTTATTTAACCTGCACCTGCCACTAATGACTCTCAGTTCTATGGCCTAAATTCCTCTCCTGAGACCACCCATAATCCACAAATATCTATGTATTATTTCTCCTTAGATGACTTTCAGGTCTTCTAAGTGCAATAGCCCCACAGTAAACTCAGTATCTTCTCCCGGTCAGGCTGTCTTCCCTGAGAGAAGTGGCTTTTGCCCTGTTTTCTGAATGCCTACATTGAAGCCATCTGTACCCCAGGAAGCCTTCCCTGATGTGCTGTTTGGTCGCATCTTGTGTATACCTACGTATCTGCACTTATCCTTCTGAACCTGCTGTTGTCCTGTCACTTGTGTTTCCTTCTGTGACTTATACGCGTCTGCAGAACAGGACGTATGTATTATTTTTATTTGGGTATTTAGCATCTAACAGTGTTTGACATATAGTAGTCTTTTAATACATATTTTTGTCTGAATGGAAATGATATTTTGAAGAAAAATAATCTGTTCCATAGCTGGCTGATCTTTGGACTGCAGAACTTGTGAAAGTGTTTTTTAAAAAGCATTTTAAAAAGTACAAGGGACATTCATGTATTAAGAAGATGAGTTTCCAATAACTGCTAGAGGACTTTGTGTCTTTTTATTTTACCCTCTTTTTCCTGATGAGTCCTTTGAGTCCTTTAAACTGAGGAGCAAGCTAAGTTTCCTAGTGAAATACCTATAGGATTTGTTTTGTTTAGTTTCAAATACCACTCTTTGCTTGGCCACTTACTGTGTCAGGGAGTCATTCTCAGTGAAAAATAAGACACAGGTCATACCCTCTAGACACTTACAATTACAGTGGCAAGGAGTCATTCTCCTGTCACTGTAAGTGGCCAAGCACAGACTGGGTCCCCACATGTCAGGGCTGAAAACTCACAGGGAAATCTGTGAGTTGGGAGGTGAGAGCAGAAGAGTCCCGTAGTTCCTTCTCACTCTGATGCATTTATCATTCTAAACCCAGACTTTCACATACACATTCATCGTTTTCTTTCATGATAATAGTTGCTTTTATCCTCTTATCTTTGCTAATTCTTACAAACTAATAAAGACTAAGAAACAAAATAAATTAAATCCTACAGGTGTTCCAAACTCAGCAATAATTTCTAGTTGGCCTCTAAAACAAAAATCAAAATATAAATGTAAGAAAAGTTTAGAATGCTTAGTACCTGTGTGATGAAATAATCTGTACACTAAACCCCCAAGTCATGAGTTTACCTATACAACAAACCTGCACATGTACTCCTGAACATAAAATAAATGTTGAAATATTTTTAAAAAGGAAACAAAAGTTTGGAACAAATGCCAAAATAACTGTACTGTACTTTTGAATTTATATGCCCCAAATGAAAAATATTATCAACAAAGCTATACATTCTACAGTTTCATGTTCATAAACTAAGACAGAAACTTTAAAACTGTCAAGAGCCCTAAAATTTGAAGGATATTTTCTTCTTCCTCTCAATTTTGTATTTTTTTCTACCTTTTCTATAATAAGAAAAAGAAAATGTCCATTCCCCCACCCCCATGACTCTAAAAACAATTTTACATCTGTGTCATAGAAAAATTAAGATCTTAATGGGAGAGAAAACCTCTCTACTAGTTCCGCCAGTAGCCGTATGACCTTAGCAAGTTATTAATATGTAACTTCCCTGCATTTCCTTACCTGTAAAATGTATGATATGTATTTGCTTCATAGGGTTATTGTGACAATTCAGCGAGTGAAATATGTAAAGTATTTAGAAGGATGCCTGGCACAAGTAAGTGCTCAACAAATGTTAGCTGTCATTGTTACTATTACTATTGTGTAGGGTCAGGATGCCCAGACTTTCAAAGACCAGGAAGCAGCTTGACTTATCAGTGATAAACTTTTCATTTTGTTCTTTGCTCCTTTCTTTTTATAACTGCTCATCTGCTCTGTATTATTTCCTTTATGGTGTTGCTCCTTCTTCTTCCCCATATGTCCTTCCTTTGACCTCTTACCTTCTTCCTTTTTATATTCATAAGTCTTTATTCATTCTCTAGCTTTGACCACTTGCATATTCAAACTGACATTTTGTCGTGTTTTTCTCTACTGTCTTTATGCAGCGGACCATGTGTCAACTTATGCCGCGTTTGTACAGACGCATAGACCAACAGGGGAGTTTATGTTTGAATTTGATGAAGATGAGATGTTCTATGTGGATCTGGACAAGAAGGAGACCGTCTGGCATCTGGAGGAGTTTGGCCAAGCCTTTTCCTTTGAGGCTCAGGGCGGGCTGGCTAACATTGCTATATTGAACAACAACTTGAATACCTTGATCCAGCGTTCCAACCACACTCAGGCCACCAACGGTACGCCCTATCTTTGCCTCTTCCTCTGTAGCCCAACTGGAAGGGATGAGAGGGCCTCTCTGCCACCCTCAGACTAGGAAGCCTAAGTGCCCCCTGCTGTGTGATCCTCTTCCCCTAGTGGCCATGGGCTGATCCCACTACAGCAAGGGCTTGCATCCTCTCTTCTCAGGAGAGAGAAAGGTGAGCAGAGTGAGGCTGGTCAGTGGTGTGATACCCCTCTCTGTGATTCAGAGCTGCCATAAAATCTAAGGCTGAGGTAGAGGACCACCCTCCCCTAAGAGGTGGAGCCTTTGTGATTCATCCCAGAAGAGGGGCCTAACCTGGTGCTGTCTCCTTCCAGATCCCCCTGAGGTGACCGTGTTTCCCAAGGAGCCTGTGGAGCTGGGCCAGCCCAACACCCTCATCTGCCACATTGACAAGTTCTTCCCACCAGTGCTCAACGTCACGTGGCTGTGCAACGGGGAGCTGGTCACTGAGGGTGTCGCTGAGAGCCTCTTCCTGCCCAGAACAGATTACAGCTTCCACAAGTTCCATTACCTGACCTTTGTGCCCTCAGCAGAGGACTTCTATGACTGCAGGGTGGAGCACTGGGGCTTGGACCAGCCGCTCCTCAAGCACTGGGGTATGCAACTGCTTTTCTCTCCATAATCTCCTGGCATCCTCTATTCCAAAGACCTGGTGTCCTCTGCACCAGCTTTCCGCACTGGCTGGGTCTCAGTCCTCTCCTCGTCCTAACATCCAATTAACTGGTCCATAACCTTCAATTCCCACAACCATCCCAGGCCATCACCACCCTCACTGCACCTCCTGACCCTATCTCTTCATTCTTCCCCCAGAGGCCCAAGAGCCAATCCAGATGCCTGAGACAACGGAGACTGTGCTCTGTGCCCTGGGCCTGGTGCTGGGCCTAGTCGGCATCATCGTGGGCACCGTCCTCATCATAAAGTCTCTGCGTTCTGGCCATGACCCCCGGGCCCAGGGGACCCTGTGAAATACTGTAAAGGTGGGAATGTAAAGAGGAGGCCCTAGGATTTGTAGAATGTAAGGAAGGGAGGAAAAATTCAATCTGATAAGTGTTCATTGATCTTCTAATGGGTTAAAAGCATTCAGCCACATAACAACAACAACACCGATAACTAACTGAGTAGTTAATATGGTCAGGCGCTATTCTGAGGATTTACATTTATTAACTCACTTTATTCTCACACATAGTCTTTGAGGTAGGTACTATTATTTTCACTATTTCACATGAGAGATACTTACATCTTTTTACATACACAGAGACTTTAAGCACTTTGATCAAGTTCCCACAGCTATGAAGTAGTAGGGCTAGCTTCCAATCCAGAAAGTCTGGATCCAAGACTGTTTATCCACTGTCCTATTCACCCTATTTTGTGAAGGAAAAGACCAAGTTCAAATTCTCCAGAGTCCATTGCCAAATAATGGAGTCAGATCTATATTTCTATACATAATTACAACACAGTGTGGTGGGTGCCTGTAACTACTTACTGTCTCTACTTGGACTCATTCCATGGCAATGTTCACACAAAAAATGCCTCTCCAGAGATCTTACAGGTTTCTATTTATCATAACACTCACCATGCTTTATATTTTTATATGTTTTGGGAATTCTCTTAGCATTAGACAGTGAACTTCCATGCAGATGACCACATCTAATTCATTATTATTATTGTTATTCATGCTGGACCTCAGGTACAAAAGGTTAAGAACTTCTCAGTTCATTATATGATCATCATTGGTGCCTCCGAGCTCTCTCTCTCTCCCTTGATTTATTTGGTCCCTTTTATCTCCAGTCCTTACTCCCATATCTAACCTCTTACCCCTACCTCATAGGTAAACATTTTAATGAATTTGATGTTTCCTTTTATTTGCATAGATCCTCTGTAATATGTAGTAGTGTCCAGTGTACATGTATTTTTAATTAACCAAAATGGCATTAAATTATAGATCTAATTTTGTACATCCAGTTTGTTTCTTCCAAATCTTCCATAGTATTTTACTTTATATGTCCATGCATTAGTCCATTTTGCATTGCTATAAAGGAATATCTGAAGTTACCTAATTTACGAAGAAAAGAGCTTTAAATGGCTCACAGATCTGCAGGCTGTACGCGAAACATGGCACTAGCATCTGCTTCTGTTGGGGGATTCTGGAAGCTTTTACTCATGGTGGAAGGCAAGTGGAGCCAGTGCATCACATGGTCATAGAGGGAGAAAGAGACATAGAAAGAGGTGCCAGCCTCTTTTTAACAACCAGGTTTCATGTGCACTAATAGAGTGAGAACTCACTCATTACCCGGAGAGGGGACAAAGCCATTCATGAGGGTCTCCTCCATGATTCAAATACCTCCCACCAGGCCCCACCTGCAACACTGGGGATCAATTTTCAACATGAGACTTGGAAGTGACAAATATCCAAATCATATTAATCCACATATCTACATTGCTCCTGGGATACCTGGATCATTCCTGGTTCTCTACTATTGCAAGCAATGCTTGTATCTCACATGGAACTGCATATACATGTGGGCCTGACCTGCATCCCTGGAATGTATGTATCCTAGAAAGGGGTTGCAGGGTTGTTGGAGATGCAGCTCCTTAATTTGACTAAACACTGCTCATCTTCTCATCAGAATGGCTGTACTCATCTGAACTTCCTTTGTCAGTACTCTAATTGTCCTGCAACTCCTAAATGGACTTCAACACTGGACATTATCCAGTTTTCTAACTTTTGCCAATTTCATGTGCATAAAGAAATATGCTGTTTTATTTTGCATTTCTTTAATTACTAATAATTGGGGCTATAATTAGGACTGATTAGCCACTTGGGGGTTCCTTTTCTATAAATTGCCTGTTCACATTCATTGTCCATTTTTGTACTATGTGCTTCCATCATTTTCTTATTGATTTGCAGGTGATCCTTATATAGTCCTGCTAGTAGTCCCTTGTCAGTTTTAGGCATTGCAAATGTTTTCCTCTAATCTGACTTCTGGCAACTGTCTCCTTGGTTTCCTTTATTGAAGAGAAATCCTTAATATTTTGTAATGAAGTCCATCAACTGTATTTTTGTTTGTGTGTCTTTTTTAAAAGAAGTCTTCCCTATACTGAGATATCAAAGATACTCTTAAAACATCTCCTACAGTTTTAAATTTCACATTTACTACTTTAATTCATCTGGGATTCATCTTTGTGTTTGATGGGGATCATGTTTTATTTTTCTTTATATAATGGGCCAGTGTGTTCCCACAACTACTAAATAGTTCACCTTTTCCCCATAGGTTAGTAGTGTCTCCTTTGCTATACTGAAAGCTCCCATTATAGGTGGGCCTGTGTCTGAGTTCCATCTTGTTCCACTGTTCTGTTTGTCTCTTCTTGTGCCAGTGTCCTAGTATTTTGATTACTATGACATTGTAGTGTGTGTTAGTATCCAGTAGGACAAATTCTTGTTTATTTTTCTTAGTTCACACACATTTATAATTATATCTATAATGATTTGTAACAGAGTGAAGTGAATGTAGAATGTCAGATGTTAAGAGGAAGAATGGAAAAGAGGGCTGGGACTAGGGTGATGTAGGGGATGCACTTGGCTTAGGTGCAAAATTTGGGGGATACCAAAAGAACTCAGTAATAAATCATATTTTAATGAAATATCTTGAAAAGGCAAAATTAATGCAAAGATACATGATTAACAAAACATCCAAAGAGGAGTATTTAACAAAAATGGAGAAGCAGAGAAGCAGAAGAATTAGGAGAATATGCTGTCACATGAGCCAAGGAATTAAAGAATTCAGGAAGGAGGAAGTACTGCTGTCAGATGTTCAACAGAGGTCATTTTAGAAAATTTACCTTGGTTTTTGAAATCCTTTCAAAGAGCAGTATACACAATGTGAGCAAGTATCCTTCGTTCATTGCCGTCATTGATATGGTTTGGATATTTGTCCCTTCCAATTCTCATTCCAGGGTTAAGCTTCTTCTCTGCCCTCAGTAATGTGGCCCTTCCCCTTGTCTGTATATTTTGGAGACATGAAGCATGTGGGATGGCCTCACAGTCAGCTGGGGTTTGAGGGTGAAATTCAATGACTTTCGTGAACTCCTTGGCTCCTATGTGCTCTTCACCTGGAGGACCAGGGCATGTGCAGGGATGACCACCTTCTCCCTGGGACCTGAACAGGGCAGAGAAATGGGAAGCTCGGGTGCAAAGGGAGTGGGGAAGATGGGTCCGGGCTTACAGTACTGAACCCAGGAATGACAATAACTGTGTGTGTTGCTGCAGGTGACAAAATATCTGAACAGAAGAGGACTTAGGAGAGATCTGAACTCCAGCTGCCCTACAAACTCCATCTCAGCTTTTCTTCTCACTTCATGTGAAAACTACTCCAGTGGCTGACTGAATTGCTGACCCTTCAAGCTCTGTCCTTATCCATTACCTCAAAGCAGTCATTCCTTAGTAAAGTTTCCAACAAATAGAAATTAATGACACTTTGGTAGCACTAATATGGAGATTATCCTTTCATTGAGCCTTTTATCCTCTGTTCTCCTTTGAAGAACCCCTCACTGTCACCTTCCCGAGAATACCCTAAGACCAATAAATACTTCAGTATTTCAGAGCGGGGAGACTCTGAGTCATTCTTACTGGAAGTCTAGGACCAGGTCACATGTGAATACTATTTCTTGAAGGTGTGGTTTCAACCTCTGTTGCCGATGTGGTTACTAAAGGTTCTGATCCCACTTGAACGGAAAGGTCTGAGGATATTGATTCAGTCCTGGGTTTTTCCCTAACTACAGGATAGGGTGGGGTAGAGAAAGGATATTTGGGGGAAATTTTACTTGGATGAAGATTTTCTTGGATGTAGTTTGAAGACTGCAGTGTTTGAAGTCTCTGAGGGAAGAGATTTGGTCTGTCTGGATCAAGATTTCAGGCAGATTAGGATTCCATTCACAGCCCCTGAGCTTCCTTCCCAAGGCTGTATTGTAATTATAGCAATATTTCATGGAGGATTTTTCTACATGATAAACTAAGAGCCAAGAAATAAAATTTTTAAAATGCCCTAATTCATTGCAATTTTTACCAGCCATAGTCACTCCATGTGGGAGAACTTAAATCATGATTACCAGAGCTTTCAAAGGTTTGAGAATAGTGATGATTATGAAGAAAAATATCTTATTTGAGCAAGGATTTTGTTTCTTTATGAGTGTTCATTAGATATTACGATGAAAAAAGCATGAAATGGTAAAAATTCAGATAAATATAAAAACATGTTCTCTAGTTTTTTTTAAGTTAAAAAAGGAATTGTTTAAAGTAAAAATTATTTGGGGGTTTATAACATACCCAGAAGTAAAATATGATGACAATGGCACAAAGAATAGAAGGGAGAAATGGAAGTATAATGTTGTAAGTTTCTTATACATGTTAAGTGGTGTGTTATTATTTGAAGGTAGAATGTATTAAGATGAATATTTTAAGCTCCTGATAACTATTGAAAAAAAAAGAGGTATAGCCAAGAGGCCAATGGAGAAGATAAAATAGAACACTAAGCATAATTAATTCAAAATAAAGAAATAAAAAAGGGAAAGTCTGGTAAGACAAAAAGAAAACAAACTGTAAGATGGTAGAGTTTAAAACAACCATACTAATAATTGAATTAAATGCACATGGCCTAAATATTCTAATGAAAAGGGAAAGATTGTCAGAATGCACAAAAAAATCTACAGGCCAACTTCATGCTCTCTACATAATGCCCTCTTTAAATATGAAGGCAAAGACAGGTAAAAAGTAAAAGAATGGGAAAATACATGTATACCGTGGAATGCTATGCAGCCATAAAAAAATGAGTTCATGTTGTTTGTGGGGACATGGATGAAGCTGGAAGCCATCCTTCACAGCAAACTAACACAGGAACAGAAAACCAAACACCACACGTTCTCACTCGTAAGTGGGAGTTCAACAATTAGAACACATGGACACAGGGAGGGGAACACCTCACACCAGGGTCTGTCAGGGCATGGGGAGCAAGGGGAGGGAGAGCATTAGGACACATACCGAATGTATGCATGGCTTAAAACCTAGATGATGGGTTGATAGATGCAGCAAACCACATGGCACATGTATAACTATGTAACAAACCTGCACATTCTGCACATGTATCCCAGAACTTAAAGTAAAAAAAAAAAAAAACGAAAATAATGCCAACCATGGAAGTATTGGTGGCTGTGTTAATATCAGAAATATAAGACTCAGAAATATTACCAAGGAGAAAGAAGGATAGTTCATAATGATAAAAGGATCATTTTATTATCAACATATAACAATCCTAAATGTGTTTGTTCTTAGAAAATATGTCTTAAATCACATTATACCAAAAATGATAAAAATAAATCAGAAATAGACAAATTCACAATTATATTTTAGTATTCTAGCACTCAGTAAACAATAAAATATTTAGGAAAAAACTTCATGAGGACATGATAGATTTAAATAACATTATCAATGAACCAACGTGATCTAATCAAGATCTGTAGAATATTCCACCCAATAGTGGCAGAATACACATTATTTTCAAATGCTCAAGAATATTCCACAGGACAGACTATACACTGGGTCATAAACACATATAAATAAATGTCTAAATAAATAAATGTCTCTATTGAAATCATACAGAATACATTCTCGGACCACAATAGCATTAAATTAGAAACCAATAACAGAAAAATACCTTGAAAGTCCCAAATACCTAGAAATTAAAAAGTATACTGCTAAACAGCACCTGGATTTAAAAAGAGTCAGAAGGAAAATTAGAAAATATTTTGAACTGAGTGAATATGAAAGCACACTATCAAAATTAGTATGATACACTAATTAGAGAATAATTTATAACTTTACATAATTGGAAAGGAGGGAAACTCTAAAATCAACCATCTATGTTCCCATCTTAAGAAGCTAGAAAAAAAAAGTCAAATGAATCCCAAGATTAATAAGATCAGAAATAAATGCAATAAAATGGACAAACAATAAAGAAAATAAACAAAGTCAATTGCTGGTTTTCAATAAGGCTCAATACATTCATGAATCTCTAGGTAGATGGATCAAGAAAAAGAGATAAGACTCAAATCCCCAATATCAGAAATGGAAGTGGGTACGTCACAACAAATCATACAGACATTAAAAGTATTATGACAGAATGCTATGAAAATGCCAATAAACAAAAATGACAATAAATTTGACAATTTACATTGTTAAATTAAATTAAATTTGGTGTAAAGCTTTCTCCATATCTTAAATTCCTACATAGCAAACTAACCCAACTTAACATAACTGCGTTATGCAAACAAACTACAGCCTAACTTAAGAGTGTTGTAATAAATAGCTGAGTCTCAGCCAATCACAGGCTGCCAAGTGATCATATTATGTCCCCCATAAGGCAAATGCCTCATCACGCCATGCCCATATAAGGCAAACACTGAGCTGTAATAAATTGGCTGGTTTTGAGTATCACTTCCTGTTTTTATCTATAAACACTGCCTTCACATGTTGCTGGACAGAGCTTTCTGAATCTTTCTGGGTTCTGAGGGCTCCCCAATTCATGAATTGTTCTTTGCTAAATAAACTCTGTTAAATTCAACTTCTCTAAAATTTTTATTTTAACAACATGAAATAGAAACATTTCTTGAACGATTCAAATTACCAAAACTAAATCAAGAAGAAATCTCTGTCAATGGAAGAAATTAAGTTTGTAATTTTAAAAATCCTTCTCACAGAGAAGGCCAAATGGTTTCCAGGTCAGATGGCTTCATTGATTAATCCATAGTATTCTGTCATAATACTGTCATAATACTTTTAATGTCTGTATGATTAATTCTATTATACATTTAAGGAAGAAACAATACAAACTCAATACAAACTCTTTCAACAAAAGAGCAGAAGAAAACACATCCCAATAATTTACAAGTCCAATATACTAACATCAAACAATGACATTAAAAGAAAAGGAAACTAAAGACACACAAACATAGCCATGAAAATGTTTAACAAAATATTTTTTAAAATTGAATTCAATAATATATTAAAAAGGATGATATAACATGATCATAAAAGTTTATGCCAGGAATGGAAGGCATGTTTAACATGCAAAAAATCAATGTGATTCCACATCTTAACAGAATACAAAAGAAAAATTATGTAATTATGTAAATGGATGCAGAAAAAGGCATTTGCTCATTCATGATAAAAAGTCCTAGAAAACTAGGAATAAAAAGGAATTACCTGATAAGGTGTGTCCATGAAAACCAACAACTGAAATTTTCAATTTTGGGTGGGGGAGGGGGGCGGGCATTTTACTTTCTCCATAAAACTATTAAATTATCTAATGTGAAAGTGGAATTCAGTGAAGAAATGTTCCCTACTGCAAAAATACAAAATGCTGGACATTCTGTGAACAGTTTCTATGCATTCTATATAAATGAAACTATTAACTATATAATACATTTATTGAAAAAAGAAGATGGCCTTCTTTTTTTTTCCTAATGGCTGTTGAATTTATTTGCTTGATCAATAATGGTCCTGGCAAAAATTGACCAATGCTGAGACATTTGTAATGAAATACTAATTTTAAAAGTCCATGACACCTTGATAGAAATTAGAGTTTACACAAACAAAAAAGGAACCTTCGATATTTCCAGCAGCTATAAGGTGAATGTACTGAGACCGACAGGACAGCAAGAAGGCATTTGCACATTTATATCTGACACCAGACCACACTTTCAGCCACCAGAATATCTTCTCTCCATATTTTAAAAAATAGTGTCTCTCCCTCTCCCTCTCCCCACGGTCTCCCTCTCCCTCTCCCTCTCCCTCTCCCCACGGTCTCCCTCTCCCTCTCTTTCCACAGTCTCCCTCTGATGCCGAGCCGAAGCTGGACGATACTGCTGCCATCACGGCTCACTGCAACCTCCCTGCCTGATTCTCCTGCCTCAGCTTGCCGAGTGCCTGCGATTGCAGGCGCGCGCCGCCACACCTGACTGGTTTTCGTATTTTTTTGGTGGAGATGGGGATTCGCTGTATTGGCTGGGCTGGTCTCCAGCTCCTAACCGAGAGTGATCCGCCAGCCTCGGCCTCCCGAGGTGCCGGGATTGCAGACAGAGTCTCGTTCACTCAGTGCTCAATGGTGCCCAGGCTGGAGTGCAGTGGCGTGATCTCGGCTCGCTACAACCTCCACCTCCCAGCAGCCTGCCTTGGCCTCCCAAAGTGCCGAGACTGCAGCCTCTGCCCGGCCGCCACCCCGTCTGGGAAGTGAAGAGCGTCTCCGCCTGGCCGCCCATCGTCTGGGATGTGAGGAGCCCCTCTGCCTGGCTGCCCAGTCTGGAAAGTGAGGAGCGTCTCTGCCCGGCCGCCATCCCATCTAGGAAGTGAGGAGCGCCTCTTCCCGGCCGCCATCACATCTGGGAAGTGAGGAGCGTCTCTGCCTGGCCGCCCATCGTCTGAGATGTGGGGAGCACCTCTGCCCTGCCGCCCCGTCCGGGATGTGAGGAGCGTCTCTGCCCGGCCGCCCCGTCTGAGAAGTGAGGAGACCCTCTGCCTGGCAACCGCCCCGTCTGAGAAGTGAGGAACCCCTCCGCCCAGCAGCCACCCTGTCTGGGAATTGAGGAGCGTCTCCGCCCGGCAGTCACCTCCTCCGGGAGGGAGGTGGGGGGGTCAGCCCCCCGCCCGGCCAGCCGCCCCGTCCGGCAGGTGAGGGGCGCCTCTGCCCGGCCGCCCCTACTGGGAAGTGAGGAGCCCCTCTGCCCGGCCAGCCGCCCCATCCGGGAGGGAGGTGGGGGAGTCAGTCCCCTGCCCGGCCAGCCGCCCCATCCGGGAGGGAGGTGGGGGGGTCAGCCCCCCGCCCGGCCAGCCACCCCATCCGGGAAGTGAGGGGCGCCTCTGCCCGGCCGCCCCTACTGGGAAGTGAAGAGCCCCTCTGCCCAGCCAGCCGCCCCGTCCGGGAGGGAGGTGGGGGGGTCAGCCCCCTGCCCTGCCAGCCGCCCCGTCCGGGAGGGAGGTGGGGGGGTCAGCCCCCCGCCCGGCCAGCCACCCCATCCGGGAAGTGAGGGGCGCCTCTGCCCGGCCGCGCCTACTGGGAAGTGAGGAGCCCCTCTGCCCCGCCACCACCCCGTCTGGGAGGTGTACCCAACAGCTCATTGAGAACGGGCCGTGATGACAATGGCGGTTTTGTAGAATAGAAACGGGGGAAAGGTGGGGAAAAGATTGAGAAATCGGATGGTTGCCGTGTCTGTGTAGAAAGAGGTAGACATGGGAGACTTTTCATTTTGTTCTGTACTAAGAAAAATTCTTCTGCCTTGGGATCCTGTTGATCGGTGACCTTACCCCCAACCCTGTGCTCTCTGAAACATGTGCTGTATCCACTCAGGGTTGAATGGATTAAGGGTGGTGCAAGATGTGCTTTGTTAAACAGATGCTTGAAGGCAGCATGCTCCTTAAGAGTCATCACCACTCCCTAATCTCAAGTACCCAGGGACACAAACACTGCGGAAGGCCGCAGGGTCCTCTGCCTAGGAAAACCAGAGACCTTTGTTCACTTGTTTATCTGCTGACCTTCCCTCCACTATTGTCCTGTGACCCTGCCAAATCCCCCTCTGCGAGAAACACCCAAGAATGATCAATAAAATAATAATAATAAAAAAAAAATAGTATGCTGATTTCTACAACAAAGATTTTTTTCATACAAAAATCAAATCATGGCCAGAAGATATCCTTCTTAAACTGGATGCCAGATGAGCATGCTGAACACAAAGCATGGTTTGTAGAGAAGAGATGTTTCTAACAAAAAAATTAAGGACAGAGTTTGAGGTAATGACGGAACATCCAGACGGATGTGCCCAGTACATATACTGAGATGAAGCCAGAGACTATACACTAATGGGTTTTTCTGTGGCATCATGATTGATGCCATGAGGGTGACTGAGATCTGCAGGAGAATGAGTGTAGAGAGATGAGCAAAGGGCTGAAGATTATGCCTTAAGTATGTCTCCATTTAAAAATGGGAAATGGAGGAGCAGTGCACAAAGGAGTATGCATTATTTCCTGCCTCAGCGTTTTGGGGTAAATAGGGTAAGGAAGAGAGGGCTATGGGAAGAGAATGACCTGTCTCTCCATCTCACTTATAACTATCTGGTTGACCACCAACTGGATAAGACCAAATAGTTTGATATACCTGTCAAGGGACTTAATATAACATTAGCCTGCATTAATATCAGCAATATTTCTGTAATAAGGAAGGTGATAGATCTCCTATTCCCTGCTTGAACTTTACTTGAAGCTCTGTACACTCAGACATAGATTTTTAAGAAAAATCTGTACCACCTGGACAGAGGTATAAAGGAAAATGGAAAACAGGAGTAAAATAGTTCAAAGGGTTGTGATTTTGGAGCCATTAAAGAATCTGGTCAAGTTTGGTTTGGTGAAGTGAAAAAAGCAGAACCAGGATTGGTTTAAGAATCTCTGACTCCAAATAACTATACCTCAACTATGGAGGTCCTAGGAGGTCAGGCAGGGGTGTGTTGCTTTATTTATGAGAAAAGTGTACGCACGTATCTCTAAATATGTAAGGTACATGATGATTCCTTTTTTATTGTCTTGAGTAGGATGATCTGCTCCTAGCAGCGTGCAGATGGGGCTTATGTAAGCCCTAAGCACTCGTGTATGACAGAGGAAGAAAAGGTTCTTCCTTAGGATGAGAGAACTTCAAACAAGATTACTCCAGCCCATCCTCCCATTTGCTCTCTCTTTCTGTTTTCAGCTCACATAGAAAAGCCCTTTTTGGTATTTAAGCTCAATTGCTCTTATTGTGGGACAGTGGAGGCTGTGTATTACACCCATAAAAACTATTTGTCTCTATTTCCTCTCTGAAAAGGTAGCATTGCAACACTTCCCTCTCTGCTTTCCCTTCTCTCTCTTAGCCAGGGGCCCCATTGCTCAGGGTTAGAATACACAGTCAACTAAAAAAATCTGTCCCATAAAGGGACTGTTGAACACTCAACTGTCTGTTTGATGGTTGAAGCTAAGCTCTAAGAGTGAGAGTAAAATGCCGATGGAGAAGGTTTGGAGAAAGCTGTGATGACAAGAATTATCACTTCTGCTTAATGACTTTCCCTCCAGCCAATGAGATTTGAGTGTGAAGCATCCTCACTTGTGACCAGGTAATAAAGGTACTGAGATTGTCCTGAGTGAGTTGCAGAGAAGGGAGAGGTATGGCATGCTATCAAGAGAACAGTTCTGTTTCATAGTGGGAAAATGTATCAGAGTGTCACGTGGACATAGAAGTGAGAGAACTGAGGGTTGAAGTGGGTTCTTGGGAAGGTTACATCTTCTGCTGTTGAGAAAATCTGAAGTGTATGCCAACTAGGGTTAGAATTGCTGCCTCACAGGAAGTAGCACTCTGTGCAGCCACCAATTAAAGCTGCCCTGCCTGGATCCTTTTAGTATTTTGGGATTGATAAATAGATATGAATAACAAATGGGCAAACCCAGGCAAGGTAAAACTAAGGAGAAAACATAGAAATAGTGCACAGAAACGAGTTAGAGAAGAATAAAACAGAATATAAGTACAAGTCTCCTTACCTGTTGGCACATGGGAATAGTTTTGGTGTATGCTAAAATAGTTTTTCCTTGGAGCTTCAGGTTGTAAATTGCTAAGGAAAACCTGCTTGGTGCTGGAGTCCGGAGTCTTTACTTTTCTTCTAGTTACAGCTCTCAGAGGCCTGTTCAGGTTCTCAGAAGCATAGTACCCATTAGCTACTTTGTTAGATCCACTGTGAAATTTGGCTTCCATATCCGGTTTTACAATTCAATGTTGGATCAAAAAGACTGGTTGGCCTCCTAGAAGCCTTTCTAAATTCTACTGAGCTGGAAACGGTTAGAGAAAGAGCTGTCTACTCTCTGAGGAGCACTTCTGAGTTACTTCTACTTCACAGGTTCTAACACAAAAGGTGTTAACCCTAGAGGATTAGAACCTAATCAGTTATGGCAAACAGAAGTTACATCCCTGAATTTGGAAAACTAAGATATGTACATGTATCCATTGATACGAACACTTATCTAATTAGTGCACACACTCTTCTGTTGACTGAAGTGTACAGTTGTGTGCAGCAACACGTCTGTCAGGCAAGGCAGTCATCGCTTTTATTCCGGCTTTGCATCCTAGAATTAGCAAATAACATAAGACAATCATGAGAATAATTAGCAATATTCTTTTCCAGTCAAAGAGTGAACCCCAGGAGTGGGGGTCTAACCAGGAGTGATGATCTTGCACACCCTTCCATATGGCTGTTTGTTGGGTGTGTAGATCTATAGTGGGAAGGGATTCTAAAATTTTAGTTTGAAGTTGCTTTACATCTGCTATTAAATTGTCATGAATTGTTCCCCAGAGGTGTTGTTTCACTTCATCCCAACTATGTATTGATTGACTCTATGATAGAGAAGTGACACAGATATGTTTATGCGCCCAGTCGCAGTTTAATTGCTGTTAGAATGCCAGTGCATCTTGTTACTCCCCCATATATTCCAGGGCAGCCTCAAGGGCCTCAAGGGCTTGCAGACGTGCAAGAATCTTTTGCTCTATACCCTGCTGTAAGAGAAGTTCATTAGACACATTTCTGGCCAAATTATCTACAAAAGCACCTATTTGTACTGATTCAGTAATAGCTGCTACAGCCACACTAGCAGTTGCTAGGATGACTGTGGCTGAGACTATAAAGGCTGTAAGTGTGCCTATGTATCTTTTGGGTCTGGCCTAGGACAGGGCACATTCTTAGGTGGCAAGGGCAGAGGAACCTTGCCAATCGCATGTCAAATTGACTGGGTAGGAATGCCTCAGATTGTCTCCTTAATACCATGACACTAGTAATATTTAAATTAGATGTATTATAATTAGTGATACATGAGGCAAACCAAGCCTGTTCCTGCACCTGGGTCACAAATGCGGAGTTTTGGGGTGTAATGGAAGTATCAGTTTCCATAAGGAAAATATATGTATGGGTAGTATAAATTAGGCACTGATCAGTGTGATTATGAATAAAGGTTATAGTGTATTTGCCACTGGAATTATGATATGTCCCATGCCAGGTGAAAAGGAGGTGCTAAGATGTCCCAGGTACCGTAAAGTGTCTTGGGTAGCATGGACTTTACTTGGGGTATGGGATAACCCATCCCCCCCATTGGCCTAAATCATAGGGGAACGTGATGAGGCTACAAAACTGTGATTAACACCATGATAGATGAGGACATCAGTAAGGATGCCCTGAAAATGGCCGTGGGGGCTCCAGTCTAAGGTATTATAATGGCCTAGCTGGAGGCTACAAGCTTATTCCCCGTGACAGACCTCCCAGCTAAAGTGGAATCCATTACTTTCCCAGCTTTATTCTTTAGCACAGGAAGGAATGTTTGGGAAAGAATCATTGATTGCATTACCTGATTTGAAGCTACCTGCAGCTAAGACTTTAAAGGCATTTCTTTTGCCATGATGTAGCCATAATTGTGTTTGGGCAGGTACACAGTAAGGGTTATAATCTTTATAACTTACACACAGTGGGAGGATAGTGGAGTGATATGTAGTGTGTCTGGCACCTTAGTCCAGTGTATGCCATTATCGAGGGACCCCACTGGGGGTAAATCTATCCCTCCTAGCCAAGCAGTTATGTTATTAAAAGTTGGGAAGGGAGTGTCTGCCTAGGTGACAGGGTGAAAGAAAGGCGGATCTAAGATATGAGCCCAATAGAGTGTAGCAGGAACAGGTTGCAGACAAAGCACGAGCATAAAAAGGATCAATACCCTACATGAGTTGCAATGTACAACAGAAATCATAGCAAGGAGCAAATTATCTGGAGTGAATGGTGTCTGTGTCCAGAGCAGGGTTCATTCAGCCTCCTGAGTTGTCCTCTTCAGCATCCCCCAGTAATGTCTAGGGTTTGTGTCATCCACGGAAGCTGCATCATCCGGGACCGTGGGTCCTGCAGGGTTAGTTCCTTCATTTCTGGTACCGGGTTGAGTCCTAGCCATGTCATGGTATGGTTTGATGTGTCTTGCTGGAATCCAAAGAGGACTTGAGGGGGTGTGGACACAAGCATACCCTCTTCTCCAAGTTAACAATTCATTTGGACCACACCATACATTACTGCTTACATCTTTCCATAAAACTGCAGGTTTTATGTCTTGAGAGGTTTTAGCAAAAAGTGTTTCTCTATAGTTGATTGAAATTTGTCATCTACATTTTAAAAATTAAGGGTAAATAAGGCTTGTGCCAATAGTGTTGCAGGGTCTTTACCCATACTCCCCCTTTTCTGTTTTTTGAGCATATTTTTAAGGCTGGAGTGGGCACGTTCTACTATGGCCCGTCCTTGGGGGTTATACGGGATGCCTATGGAACGTTGGATATTCCACGTGTGACAAAATTGTTGAAATTGTGAGCTGGCATAAACTGGACCATTATCAGTTTTAATTTTTATGGGCCGCCCCATACATGCAAAAGTTGAAAGAAGATGTTTAATGACATATTGAGTGGACTCTCCAAGGAAGAGCGTGTGCACTAATTAGATGAGTGCTGGTATCAATGGATACATGTACATATCTTAGTTTTCCAATTTCAGGGATGTAACTTCTATTTGCCATAACTGATTAGGTTCTAATCCTCTAGGGTTAACACCTTTTGAAGGAGGGGACATGCCTGTTAGCTGGCAATTTGAGAATTGTGGGATAATTTGTTTAGCCAGTCTCTGGGTAAGTTGAAATTGCTTAGATAAGTTTCTCCAATTTTGGTGGAAAAATTGATGCGATTGGGTGGTTTGGTCAAGCAGTGATGTCATCACCTGAAGGTCTCCTTGATCACTGCCATAAGCCAGTGGGCCAGGCAGTGAGCTGTGGACTCGAATGTGTGTAATAAAAATAGGATGTGTACATTGATCTAGCAATTGCTGAAATCAGAGAAAAAGAGCACACAGGGCAGGCTCCAGAGTGGACTTAATTACGGCTGCTTCAAGATTTTGCAATAAATAAACAAAGTAGGCAGAATCACTAACTATATTGATGGCTGAGTAGAAAAAGTTTCCAAGGCCAATATCAGGGCCCCGATCTCACCTCTCTGAATGCTAGTAAACCCAGATTGAGTGAGTGAATTATGTGGTCTCCACCAGATTGCCGCCTTTCCATGTTTGCCTGAATCATCAGAAAACAATGTTAAAGCATTAGGTATGGAGGAGTGAACTATTTTTGTTGGCAAGATCACAGGAGTATGAGATAAGAAATGAAGGAATTTATCAGCAGGAAGAACATGCTCTATTTGTCCTGTGTAATCAGAGAGAGCTATTTGCAGATCTAACAATAGGGACAAAACTGCTTCTAATTGCTTTTTACTTAAAGGAATCCTGATGATTTCAGGATATCAGGATCATAGCCTAGCAACTGACTGCATTGTTTGAGGCCTGAATATACGACTTTACTAATTAACTGAATGTAGGGAAAGAGTGTTTTAGTCCTGGTATGTGAGCAAAAAAAAATCCATTCTAGAAAGCGCAGTCCTGGGGTCATCGGTCCTATTAATCCTGAAGGGGAGTGTTTGGTGGGGAAAATAAACAACTGGATGAAATAATGGGTGTCTATGTGATCTAGTTGCCTCTGAGAGATGGCTTGTTCTATTTCCTCAATTTCCCTTTTTGCTGCAGGGTTTAAATATCTGGGAGAATTCAGGGCTATATTGCCCTTTAAGATAGAAAACAGGTTTTGCAGCTTATAAGTAGGAATGCCTAAAGTGGGGCAGAGCCAGTTGATATCACCTAGTAATTTCTGATAATCATTTAAGGAATGTAAGTTGCTAGTATTTAATTTAACATTTTGAGGTCTTACTGACCAGGAAGTTAGCATGTACCCAAGATATATTTCCAAGGAGAGAAAGTTGTACTTTTTCAGGTGCAATGATTAAACCTCTTAGCTGTTTATTCTTTATGACAGAGGTATATAAATTTAAAAGTATTGGCTCTGTTGGGGTTGCTGGTAAAATATTCATAAAACGAATAATCTTGCAATTAGGAAATTCTTTTCTACTGGGAGCAAAGCTTGATTTACATGATACTGACACTTGGTAGGACTGTTTAGCATCCCTTGAGGAAGCACATTCCAATGAAATCAACAAGCTGGCCTTTCATTATTGATAGCTGGTATTGTAAATGCAAATTTTTCTCTGTCCTGTTCTGCTGGGGGAATCATATAAAAGCAGTCCTTTAAGTCAATAATGATTATAGGCCAATCTCGAGGAATCGCCACAGGGGATGGGAGGCCCTGTTGAAGGGGTCCCATAGGTTGCAAATTAGCATTAACAGCACATAGGTCATGCAAAATCTCCATTTCCCAGACTTTTTGGGAATGATGAAAATGGGCAAATTCCAAGGACAAATAGATGGTTCTACATGCCCAGCTTTTAATTGCTCTTCAACTAATTCACAGGCTTTTTGTAATTTCTCTCCCTTCAGAGGCCACTGTTCTACTCAAATTGGATCTTGAGAGAGCTACGACGGGGGTAGGGGAGGAATAATAACAGTGGCCATTGTTATAAAGGGGGCTGAGAGTCACCCCTCCCGCATTGGGCTAATAAATCCTGTCCCCAAAGATTAACAGGGATGCGCATGCTTACGGGTTGTATAACTGCCTTTCTTCCTTCTGAATTGCAACAGGTTAGGGGGTGCATGCTCTGCTTGGCTCTGTGTGCTTCCCTGATGCAGACCATTTTTTATTTCTGAGTGACCCAAGGCCAAATTTCTAGCCAGTTTTGATCACTAATGATTGAAACGTCCACCCCTGTGTCCAATAAGCCAGTAAAATTATTATTTCCAATTTTTAAGATAATCATGGGTCTCTGATCAGTGATTAATTGATTCCCATATACTCCTGTGGCTCCTGTGCTCCCAAAACTTCCTTTCCCCTTTCCTTTCCGTGGGCACTGGGGACCCAGTATGGCAAAATCAGTAACTGAGCTATCTTTGATCCAGGGGGAAGAATATTCAGACCTTTACATTCCATCATAACCAATATCTCACCTTGGTAATCACTACCAATTACCCCAGTGAGCACATTAATTCCTTTACTGGACAGGCTAGACCGCCCTAGGACTAATCCCACTGCTTCTGGAGGCAGCTGGCCCCAGATCCCGTATGCAGCCCTTTTAGGGTCTTCTCCTTCTTTCAGCACTGATTTGTTGGGGCAGAGTAAGTCCAGTCCTGCACTCCCAGTGGTGGCTGCTCTGAGAGAGAGGACTGTGAGCTCTCCATCAGACCGAGGAAAGCTGGTGGGATTGCCCCAGTTTGAAGCAGGGCCTAGGGCCAGCCCATCATGAAGTTTCCCACCTGGTTACTTATGGGGTTTCTGTTTTTATCAAATTTTGACCTGCATTGATTTGCCCAATGTTTCACCGTTTTACATCCGGGGCATATAGAAGGGGGTTCTTTCCCTGAGTTACCTTCGTCTCTATTATGGGGGCATTCCCTCTTCATATGATCTGGCTCTCCACATAGAAAACAACTTTGGCTTCTCTCCCTTTTCACTTTAGGAGGCCTTAATGCCATAACCAATATTTTGGCTTGTGTGTCTCAGTTCCCACCAGCTGACATGCTCATATAAGTTCCCCGACTGTGGCTGCCTTTCTTCTGATTGCCTGCATTGCCTGCTGGTGATCCACATGAGAGTTTTCAAAAGCCAATTGCAACAATAAGATATCAGCAGCCTGGGCGTGACTAATTTGTCTCTTAATTGCCTGGGTTAACCAATTGAAAAACTCAACAAATGGCTCCTGAGGCCCTTGTTGAACATTTATAAAAGATCCTTGCTAAACTCCACTTTCAGGAATTCAGTCCCAAGCCCTGAGAGCACACAAAGACACTTGATTTTAGGCCTGGGGAATCAAAATCTAGTCGTTGTACATAGGCATGGGGATCCTTCCCCTGGAGCATAGCAGCTGTTAGGTCTTGCCCCGTCGCCTGATTCTGGTTAGCTTGTTGTTCACACAGCTCATCATATTCTGCCTTCCAGAGGAGGTATTGGCTAGGCTCCAAAGTTGTTTTGGTTAGCATTGCCCAGTCCCATGGGGTCATAGAAAAGTGGTCTGCCAAGGCCTCAATCATTCCTTTCATAAATGGGCTAGCAGCTCTGTTTTCTTTAATGCTTTTTCTTAGCTCCTTATAAGCATTAAAAGAAATGGGTTCATGTACCTGATTGCCTTGTCGGTCTTGCATTACCAGGCAGGCTAAGAGCTCCCCTTCCAATGCCACTTGCTTAAGACAAGGTCCCATAGCTGGAGCATGTCTCCTGTCTTTTTTCCTATCTATTGGAGGAGGGGGCTCAGGCAAAACCTCCATTTCCTCTTTGTTATTTTGGCCTGGTGATATCAGGGCTGAGGAACTTGCGGGTGGTAAAATACATGATGGTGCCTTGTCCTTCCCCTTTTTAGGCTCTTCTGTGTATAATGGGACCAAAGCCGCCCTTACTAAGGCCCATAGCATTAAAGATGATACTGGGACCCGTTACCCTTGAACATGATGTTGCTTAAGATTTTTTCCCACTCGTTCCCAGAGCTCTAGGTCTAGCATGCCTTCTTGGGGGAACCATGGGTTATGGGATACAACAGTTTGCATTAGGTTCCTTAATTAAACCTGTGAAACTGAGGCTCTGCTAGCTTTAAGCAGCCATTTCAATACTTTTATATACTGTTTCTGTTGAGCTGATAACTGTTGTCCCATGATGAAACCTTAGCCTGAACAATCCCCCGCCCCGAACTTGGAAATCCCAAGCAAGTACCAATGACTTACTGATTACTCACTGACTGCGCAGTTCCTTTTTCACCTTCATTTTCAGGGGGTTCATCAATCTCCCCTTGCAGCATTCCTCACGCGGGGCACCAGCTGTGGTAGTCTGACCCACAGACCCTGACCCAGTAATGGATGAGAGGTGTACACTGACACAGATATCTTGCTTGTCAGTTCAGCTGAGGGTCCAGGCCACACACAGACACCAAGGAAGGTGCTGTAAAGAGTTGCATCTATGGCCCTGATCAACCAGCAAAGCTCGCATTTGTTCACACCACTAGAGGGCAATTGACCTGTTTGCCGACCCCCCCAAGTAGAGAGCAATTATGCATCTGCAGTTGATCAAATGTTGGTCTTACGACCACATGAGTAAACAAGCTATTTAGATAAATGTTCCTTTGTATCTGTGCCCCAAGCAATTAACTCAAGGTAAGGATTACGCTGCTTTCAGCCATAACCCTATCTTGAGACTTTTGCAAATACCTTCCGGCCTTCCAAGAAGGTTTGTGTCTATATCCTATAATTTTACAATTTCTCCCACCATCCTGACTGAACCCCCACACTAGACTAACCAAGAAAAGAAAAGAGAATACCCAAGTAAACCATATCATAAATGAAAAAGAAGCTATTACAACAGATCCCACATAAATACAAAAGATAATCAGAAACCATTATGAACAAACATATGGTAACAAACTGGAGAAACAAGAGGAAATGGATAAATTTCTGGAAACATACAACTTACCAAGATTGAATCAGGAAGAAAGAAAATCTGGACAGACTAATACTGAGTACTGAAATGGAATCAGTAATAAAAAATCTCCCAAAAAAGAAAAATCCAGGAGCATATAGTTTCACTGATAAATTCCACCAAACTTTCAGAGAACCACCACCGATTTTCCTCCAACTGGTCCAAAAAGTTGAAGAAGAGGGAATTCTCCCAAACTCATTCTGTGAGGCTAGCATTACCCTAATGGCAAACCCAGACAAGGATGCTCCAAGAAAGAAAACTACAGGTGAATATCCTGATGAATACAGATGGAAAAATACTTACCAAAATAGGAGCAAACCGAATCCAACAGTAGATCAAAACAATAATATAATGTGATCAAGTAGGATTTACAGCAAGGATGCAAGGATATTTCAACATACACAAATCAATGAATGTGATACATCACATCAACATGATGAAGGCCAAAATCCATATGACTATCTCAATAAATGCAGAAGAAGCATTTGATAAAATTCAACACCTTTTCGTAATAAAAACTCTCAACAAACTAGGCATAAAAGGATCATGCCTTAATATAATAAAGGCTCTATGTGACAAAACCCACAGCTAACATCATACAGAATGGTGAAAAGTTGAAAGCTTTTTCTTTAGGAACTGGGAAAAGACAAGTATACACATGTTCACCCCTCCTACTCAACATAGTACTATTCTATCTATCCAAGGGGGGCTGCACATCAGCCCTGTCTCCTGTCTGCCATCTTCCTGGCAAGAGCTCATAAAGCAAGTTCCAAAATAATCTTATATTTAGAAAAACCAAACACTCCACCAGAACACTCTTAGAACTGATAAGCCAATTCAGTAGACTTGGCAGGATACAAAATTAATATGCAGAAATAAGTAGCATTTCTATTCACCAACAATGAAATAGCTGAAAAAGAAATGAAGAAGAGAATTCCATTTATGATAGCTACAAAAAATATGATAAAATACTTGGAATAAATTTTACCAAAGAGGTGAAAGATCCCTACAAGGAAAACTACAAAACACTGATGAAAGAAATTGAAGTGGACACAAACAAATGGAAAGAAATTCCATGCTAATGGATCAGAAGAATTAATATCATTAAAATGACCATATGGCCCAAAGCAATCTACAGATTTAATGTGATCCCTATCAAGATACCAATGTCACTTTCCACAAAAATATAAAAAACAATCCTAAAATTTGTATAGAACCATAAAAGATCCTGAATAGGCAAAGCCATCCTGAGCAAAAAGAACAAAGCTGGAAGTATCACAATACCTGAGTTCAAAACATTTTACAAGGCTGTAGTAACCAAAAGAGTAGAGTACTGGTATAAAAAACAGACACATAGACCAATAGAATACAACAGAATAGGGGACAGAATCATGGTGGACGGGAGGCATTATACATTGCCCCTCCAACTTGGATGGACAGAGCAGCTTGTGGAGTCTTGCATCATGAACTTTTGCTCCAGACCTATTGCAGGAATGACTGGGAAAGCTGAGAGAACCCACAGACCCTCTGAAGGGAGCAGATTGCTCCTGCAGGACCTGGGAGACATCCCAAATACTGTGAGTGCCCAAACTGTGGAGGTGGGAAAGGGGGATCTTCCACCCTTGAATGCATACCTCACTGGGGAACCTGAAGGTGTAGATCATGGGAGAAGATTCTGACCTGAACTGGAGCTGAGTCCATTTAGAAGCTGAGGGAAACACAGGGGTAGAGGAAGCAGCGGAAGGGACTTGTTTTGGGCACTAACATTTGGCTCTTTGTTACTTATGCAAATTTCTGCAGCTGGCTTGAATTTCTCCTCAGAAAATGGGATTTTATTTTCTATCGCATTGTCAGGCTGCAAATTTTTCAAACTTTTATGCTGTTTCCCTTTTAAAACTGAATGCTTTTAACAGCACTCCAGTCACCTCTTGAATGCTTTGCTGCTTAGAAATTTCTTCTGCCAGATACCCTAAATCATCTCTCTCAAGTTCAAAGTCCCACAAATCTCTAGGGCAGGGGCAAAATGCCACCAGTGTCTTTGCTAAAACATAACAAGAGTCACCTTTGCTTCAGTTCCCAACAAGTTCCTCATCTCCATCTGAAACCATCTCAGCCTGGATTTCATTGTCCATATCATTATTCAACAAGTCTCTAGAAAGTTCCACATTTTCCCACATTTTCCTGTCTTCTTCTGAGCCCTCCAAACTCTTGCAACCTCTGCCTGTTACCTAGTTCCAAAGTCACTTCCACATTTTTGGGTATCTTTTCTGTGGTGCCCCACTCTACCGGTACCAATTTACTGTATTATTCTGTTTTCACACTGCCGATAAAGACATAACTGAGACTGGGCAATTTACAAAAGATAGAGGTTTAATTGGACTTACAGTTCCACATGGCTGGGGAAGCCTGACAATCATGGTGGAAGGCAAGGAGGAGCAAGTCTCATCTTCCTTGGATGGTGGCAGGCAAAGAGAGAGCTTGTGAGGGCAACTCCGTTTTCGGAACCATCAGATCACCTGAGACCCATTCACTGTCACAAGAACAGCACTGGAAAGACCCACCCCCATAATTCAGTAATCTCCCACAGGGTGCCTCCCACAACACGTGGGAATTATGGGAGCTACAAGGTGAGGTTTGGGTGGGGACACAGATCCAAACCATATCACTGTAGAACAAATGGACTTAACAGATATTTACAGAACATTCTACTCAACAACAGCAGAATATACATTATTTTCATCAGCATGTGGAACATCCTCCAAGACAGATGTTATGGTAGGCCACAAAACAAGTCTCAATAAGTTTAAGAAAATCAAAATTATATGATGTACCCTCTCAGACTACAGTGGAATAAAACTGGAAATTGAATCCAAAATGAATTCTCAGAACTATACAAATACATGGAAATTAAATAATCTGCTCCCGAATGGTCTTTAGGTCAACAATGAAATCAAGATGGAAATTTTAAAAATCTTTGAACTGAACCATAATAGTGACACAATTTATCAGAAACTCTAGGAAGGCCGGGCACGGTGGCTCACACCTGTAATCCTGGCACTTTGGGAGGCCGAGGTGGGTGGATTACCTGAGGTCGGGAGTTCGAGACCAGCCTGGCCAACATGATGAAACCCCATCTCTACTAAAAATACAAAAATCAGCCGGGTGTGGTGGTGTGTGCCTATAATCCCAGCTACTCGGGAGGCTGAGGCAGGAGAATTGCTTGAACCCAGGAGGTGGTGGTTGCAGTGAGCCAAGATTGTGCCACTGTACTCCAGCCTGGGCAACAAGAGCGAAACTCTCAAAAAAACAAAACAAAACAAAAACAAAAACTCTGGGAGACAGCAAAAGTGGTGCTAAGAGGAAAGTTCATAGCATTAAATGCCTACATCAAAAAGTCAATCTAGACATCAAAAAGTCAACATAGACAATCTAAGGTCACCCTTCAAGGAACCAGAGAAACAAGAACAAACCAAACCCAAACCCATCAGAATAAAATAAATAGCAAAGAAATAAATGAAATTGAAATAAATTTCAGAGCAGAAATAAATGAAATTGAAACCAAGAATACAAAAGATAAATGAAATGAAAAGCTGGTTCTTTGAACAAATAAACAAAATTGACAGACCATTAGCAAGATTAACCAAGAAAAGAAGAGAGAAGATCCAAATAAGCTCAATTAGAAATGAAACAGGAGATATTGCAACCGATACCACAGAAATACAAAAGATCATTGAAGGCTACTATGAACACCTTTATGCAGACAAACTAGAAAGTCTAGAGGAGATGGGCAAATTCTTGGAAATATACAACCCTCCTAGATTAAATCAGGAAGAAATAGAAACTCTGAACAGGCCAATAGCAAGTAGTGAGATTAAAATAATAATTTAAAAACTGCCCAAAAGAAAAAGTCCAGGACCAGATGTATTCACAGCTGAATTCTATCAGACAGTCAAAGAAGAATTGGTATCAATCTTACTGAAACTATTCAAAAAGATAGAGAAAGAGAGAATTTTCCCTAATTCATTCTATGAAGCCAGTATCACCCTAATACTAAAACTGGGAATAGGCAGAAAAAAAGGAAAACCACATACCAATATCCCTGATGAACATAGGTGCAAAAATCCTCAACAAAACACTAGCTAACTGAATCCAACAGCATGTCAAAAAGATAATACGCCATGATCAAGTGGGTTTCATACCAGGGATGCAGGGATGGTTTAACATATGCAAGTCAATAAATGTGATACATCACATAAACACAGTTAAATACAAAAATCACATCATCAACTCAAAAGACACAGAAAAAACATTTGACAAAATTTACCATCGCTTTATAATTAAAACCCTGAGCAAAATTGGCATAGAAGGGACATACATCAACTTAATGAAAGCCATCTATGACAAACCCACAGAGAGAATTATACTGAACAGGGAGAAGTTGAAAGCATTCCCCTTGAGAACTGGAAGGAGACAAGAATGCTGACTTTCACCCCTTCTCAAAAGAAGACATTTATGCAGCCAAAAAACACATGAAAAAATGGTCACCATCACTGGCCATCAGAGAAATGCAAATCAAAATCACAATGAGATACCATCTCACACCAGTTAGAATGGCGATCATTAAAAAGTCAGGAAACAACAGGTGCTGGAGAGGATGTGGAGAAATAGGAACACTTTTACACTGTTGGTGGGACTGTAAACTAGTTCAACCATTGTGGAAGTCAGTGTGGCGATTCCTCAGGGATCTAGAACTAGAAATACCATTTGACCCAGCCATCCCATTACTGGGTATATACCCAAAGGACTATAAATCATGCTACTATAAAGACACATGCACACGTATATTTATTGCGGCACTATTCACAATAGCAAAGACTTGGAACCAATCCAAATGTCCAACAATGATAGACTGGATTAAGAAAATGTGGCACATATACACCATGGAATACTATGCAGCCATAAAAAATGATGAGTTCATGTCCTTTGTAGGGACATAGATGAAATTGGAAATCATCATTCTCAGTAAACTATCGCAAGGACAAAAAACCAAACACCACATGTTCTCACTCATAGGTGGGAATTGGACAATGAGAACACATGGACACAGGAAGGGGAACATCACACTCTGGGGACTGTTGTGGGGTGGGGGGAGGGGGGAGGGTTAGCATTAGGAGATATACCTAATGCTAAATGACAAGTTAATGGGTACAGCACACCAGCATGGCACATGTATACATATGTAACTAACCTGCACATTGTGCACATGTACCCTAAAACTTAAAGTATAATAATAATAAAAATAAAAAAAGAAAAAGAAAAGGGAAGTTACAAATTAAAAAAAAAAAAGACAAAACATAGGATTGGAAGTCCTAGCCAGAATAATCAGACAAGAGAAAGAAATAAAGGACATACAAATAGGTAAAGAGAAAGTCAAACCATCACTGTTCACTAATGATATGATCATATACTTCAAAAACCCTAAAGACTCATCCAAAAAGCTCCTAGATCCGAAAAATGAATTCAGCAAATTTTCAGGTTACAAAATAAATGTATACAAATAAGTAGCACTACTATACACCAATGACCAAGCTGAGAATCAAATCAAGAACTCAATCCCTTTTACAATAGTTTTCCGAAAATAAATTTAAAAAATACTTGGAATATACTTAACCAAGGAGGCTAAAAATCTCTACCAGGAATACTACAAAACACTGCTGAAAGAAATCATAGATGACACAAACAAATGGAAACACATCCCATGCTCATGGATGGGTAGAATCAATATTGTGAAAAGGACTATACTGCAAAAGGCAGTCACAAATTCAATGCAATTCCCATCAAAATACCACCATCATTCTTCACAGAACTAGAAAAAACAATTCTAAATTTCATATGGAACCAAAAAAGAGCCCACATAGCCAAAGCAAGACTAACCAAAAAGAACAGATCTGGAGGCATCACATTACCTGATTTCAAAATATAATATAAGGCCATAGTCACCAAGACAGCATGGTACTGGTATAAATGTAGGCACATAGACCAATAAAACAGAATAGAGAACCCAGAAATAAACCCAAATACTTACAGCCAACTGATCTTTGACAAAGCAAACAAAAACATAAAGTGGTAAAAGCACACCCTATTCAACAAATTGAGCTGGGATAATTGGCAAGCCACATGTAGGAGAATAAAACTGGATCCATGTCTCTCACTCTATACAAAAATCAACTCAAGGTAGATCAGGGACATAAATCTAAGACCTGAAACTATAAGAATTTTAGAAGATAACATCGGAAAAACCCTTCTAGACATTGGCTTAGGCAAGGATTTAATGACCAAGAACCCAAAAGTAAATGCAATAAGAACAAAGATAAATAGCTGAGACCTTAATTAAACTAAAGAGCTTTTGCACGGCAAAAGGAACAGTCAGCAGAGTAAACAGATAACCCACAGAGTGGGAGAAAATCTTCACAATCTATACATATGACAAAGGACTAATATCCAGAATCTACAATGAACCCAAACAAATTAGTAAGTAAAAAACAAACAATCCCATAAAATATGAGTTAAGGGCATGAATAGACAATTCTCAAAAAAAGACATACAAATGGCCAACAAACATAAGAAAAATTGCTCAGCATCACTAATAATCAGGAAAATGCAAATCAAAACCACAATGCAATACCATTTCACTCCTGAAAGAATGGCCTTAATCAAAAAATCAAAAAATAATAGATGTTGGCAAGGATGTGGTGAACAGAGAGCAATTTTCCACTGCTGGTGGGAATGTAAACTGGTACAACCACTATGGAAAACAGTGTGGAGTTTCCTTAAAGAGTCCTAAAAGTAGAACTACCATTTGATCCAGCAATCCCACTACTGGGTATCTACCCAGAGGAAAAGAAGTCATTATACAAAAAAGATACTTGCATACACATATTTATAGCAGCACGATTCACAATTGCAAAAATGTGGAAGTAACCCAATGAGTGGATAAAGAAACTTTGATATATATATATATATATATATATATATATATATATATATATATATGATGGAATATATATATATATGATGGAATACTACTCAGCCATAAAAAGGAATGATTTAATGGCATTTGCAGTGACCTGTTTGAGATTGGAGACTATTATTCTAAGTGCAGTAACTCAGGAAGGGAAAACCAGGCATCGTATGTTCTCACTCATAAGTGGGAACTAAGCTATGAGGATGCAAAGGCATAAGCATGGCACAATGGACTTTGGGGACTCTGCAGGAAAGGGTGGGAAGGGGGTGACGGATAAAAGATTACAAATTGGTTGCAGTGTATACTGCTTGGGTGATGGGTGCACCAAAGTCTCAAAAATCTTCACTAAAGAACTCACTCATGTAACCAAACACCACCTGTTTCCCAATAACCTATAGAAATAAATTTTTTTTAAAAAAGAATAGAACAGAATAGAAAACCCAGAAATAAATCCACATATTTATAGCTGACTTACATTCAATGAAGCTATGAAGAATATTCATTGGGGATATGACATCCTTTTCTATAAATGGTGCTGGGAACACTGGATAACCATATGCAGAAGAATGAAACTGGACCCCTACTTCTCACCATATACAAAAATCAACTCAAGATAGATTAAAGACTTAAATGTAATACCTGAAACTATAAATCTGCTAGAAGAAAACATAGAAAAAGTTCTTCAGGAAATAGGTCTAGGCAAAGATTTTATGGCTAAGATCTCAAAAGCACCAGTAACAAAACCAAAAATGGACAAATGGAACTATATTAAACTAAAAAGCTTCTGCACAGCAAAAGAAACAATCTACAGGGTGAAGAGAAAACCTCTTAAATGGGAGAAAATATATGCAAGCTACTCATCCAACAGGGGATGAATATCCAGAATATACAAGGAAATCAAACATCTTCATAGTAAAAAAATAAATAATCCTGGCCAGGTGTGGTGGCTAATGCCTGTAATGTCAGCACTTTGGGGGCCTACAGCAGGAGGATCTCTTGAGTCCAGGAGTTCAAGATCAGCCCAGGAAGCATAGCTAGACCTCAGTCTCTTACTAAAATTAAAAAAAACCAAATAGCCTGGTATGGTGACATGAGCCTGTAGTCCCAGCTGAAGGACTGAGGCAAAAGGATAGCTTGAACCCAGGAATTTGATGCTGCAGTGAACTATGGGACCACTGCACACTAACCTGGGCAAGATCTAGTCTCAAAAATAAATA
Organism: Homo sapiens; assembly: GCF_000001405.40. Taxonomy (NCBI): domain Eukaryota; kingdom Metazoa; phylum Chordata; class Mammalia; order Primates; family Hominidae; genus Homo; species Homo sapiens. Next base: position 4,345,475 of record NT_167244.2, on the reverse strand, counting down.
ATTAAATTAATTAATTAATTAATTAATAACCCCATTTTTAAAATGAGCAAAGAACATGAACAGACATTTCCCAAAAGAAGACAGGCATTTGTTCTCTTCATTGAGAAAAGAAAAATGAGAGAGAGCAAGAGAAAGAAAAGAAGACATATAAATGGTCAACAGGTACATGAAAGAATGCTCAACATTACTAATCATCAGGGAAATGCAAATCAAAACCACAATGAAGTCAGGCCACAGTGGCTCATGACTGTAATGCCGACACTTTCAGAGGCCAAGGTGGGAGGATCGCTTGAGCCAGGAGTTTGAGACCAGCCTAAGCAAAGTAGTGAGATCCCATCACTACAAAAGCAAAACAAACAACCACAATGAGATATCATTTTACCCCAGTTGGGATGGCTACTATGAAAAAGACAAAACAAACAAACAAACAAAACAAAAAAACCACAGGTGTTGGCAAGGATATGGAGAAAAGGGAACTCTTATTCACCATTGCTTGGAATGTAAGTAAGTACAGCCACTATGGAAAATAATATGGAGATTTCTCAAAAAACTAAAAATAGAACTACTACACAATCAAGCAATCTCACTAATTAGTATTTATCCAAATGGAAAAGAAATTAATGTATCAAAGGGATACACACATTCTTTATTGCAGCACTATTCACAAGAGCCAAGATATGGAATCAACCTAAGGGTCCATGAATGGATGAATGGATAAAGAAAATGTAGTATATATAGACAATGAAAGTATTCAGCCATTTAAAAAGATGAAATCATGTCATTTGCAGTAACATGGATGGAAGTGGACGTCATAATGTTAAGTGAAATAAGCCAGGCACAAAAAAACAAATATCACATGTTCTCACTCGTATGTGGGAGTTTAAAAAGTTGATCACATCAGGGTAGAGAGTAGAATGATAGATACCAGAGACTAGGAAGTGGACGGAGATACAGAGATGTTGGTTAATGGTTATGAACCTATACTAATATAAAGAATAAATTCCAGTGTTTGATAGCAGAGTAGGGTGACTATAGTTAACAACAATGTGTAGTATTTTTCAAAAAAACTAGAAGAGAGGACTTGAAATGTACTCAATGCATAAAAATGATAAATTGTGGGTGATAGATACCCTAAACACCCTGACTTCATCATTACATTGCATGCATGTAACAAAATATCACATATAACCCATGAATATGTTCAAATATAATGTATCAAAAAATTTTAGAACTAAAAACAAAAACCAAAGCCCCCAACCCAAACATGTAGTTTAGTTTTTATTTTACAGAAACAAAGCATAATGACATTTTCACTTATACATTCCAAATCTTCAGAACTTACATTATTACGTAAATGAATACATCAAAATATTAAGATACATATTTTTCATTTCTAAATTACAACCAGTTGGTAAATAGGCAAAAAAAAGATGAATAAATAGAGTGACAAGAAAAAGAAGATAGGAGAGAGCCAAATCCAGAGAAAAAGGAAAGAAAATAAGAGCAAGTATAGGAATGAAATTGTCCTTATACAGAGGCTGACTTACCTTTAATCTAAAAAGACTTAATATTCGGGACCCCTTCTTGCAGGAGCCTTTTAACATCATATATTTTTGTACAATCTGCAAAAAGTAAGATAATTTAACAGCAAATTGTTAAGACTGTTGTATTTCTTCATTCTGACTTCTCATCCATCATACATTTTGCCCCTTGTTAGGCGGCAATAGAGTGACCATAGATATTTCAGAGATTCAAATAAGGGAAAGTTAAGTTGGGGATACACAAGGTAGAAAATGTATTTATGGCTTTACATTCACTCCATGCATAGTTAAATTATTACACGGGCTTAATCAGGGACATAGATAGGTTTAAACTAAGGATGACTGATTCTTATACTAATGATCTTAGAACTCTCAATATTGTGTTTTATGTGCTTACTAATCACTATAGGCCTTGATTCTTCAATGTAAAGCCATAATAAGATATTGTTACTTGCCAACATTTGATATTGTTTACCTCCTCTCTACCCAGCGAGAGGCAGAGAAGTAGTAAATAAAAGGCATCAACTCATTATTCTAGTCATTTACTCTCTGTCACGCTATTGTACACTACACTTTAGCCATACTGGACGCCTTACTTTTACCAGATCATGTACTTGATGTACTTGGCTATTCTCTCTCCCCAGCCTCAAATGAATCTGCCCAAGCACATCTATACAGGTTATTATTAATTTCTTGCTGGTATTACTTGAAATACTGACATTGATGAAGATAATCCCTCATTTCTAATTTACTATGACAACAATGACATCAATGATAAACTGGTTAATGAGTGTCATTAATTCTAGGAGTATCTAAGATTAATGATTACCGTATAGTAACTGAAGAGGAATAAAATTATTTTTCTTCTAGTCCCAGACATAATGTATGTTTGATCCATTGTATTCTCCCAACAAGGAGTGACTATGGTTTGCTGGTCAAAGTGGTAGATTATGGTAGTCATAACACATCATTCGGTTATCTCCCAGATCCATACTATATTAATGCAATATATACACTTGGCTACTGGAAGATGTCCAATATCAACTTCCACTTCTGAAATAAGAGATTATGAAGGAAGAGACTAGTAGAAAGACCTGAGTTTCCAATTCTATCCCCAGTTGTCAATAAAAAACAATACCGTAGATTGCCTTCCTCTTTTTGGCTATGATGGAATAGCTTGTACAATATTAATGTTCCTTCCAATAATAATGAGTAAAGCCAGATAAAACACAAAAAATAGGCCAGGCACAGTGGCTCATACCTGTAATCCCAGCACTTCAGGAGGCCAAGGCAGGAGGATCACTTGAGCCTAGGAGTCTTAAGACCAGCTTGGGCAACATAGCAAGACCCAGACTCTATAAAAATAAAAAATCAACTGGGCATGGTGGCCCATGCCTATAGTCCTAGCTACTTGGGAATCTGAGGCAGGAGGATTGCTTGAATACTGGAGCTCAGGAAGCTGAGTCTGCAGTGAGCTATGATCACACCACCGCACTCCAGCCTGGGTGACAGAGCAAGACCCCCTCTCAAAGGAAAAAAAACTACAAAAAATATACGCTTGAGGGAATCATAAAACTCTCAAGGTGATGACAGCTTGAGAAGACAAGATCATGAAAAGAAGATAACAAGAGAGGAGCCAACATTCTCCAGTTGCTTTACTCCTAAAGATTATCTTATTTTTAGGGCAGAGCAACAGACTGATAATTCTAGCAAACAACTTATGGCCATGGAGAGACAAAGAATGGTATCTGGGGCTGCCAAATTTAAGGGATCAGGATGTCAGTGAAACAGTAGACAATGACAGCCAGAAAAAGCTTAAACTCTGCTTCAAGTCAGATCCATTCCAGATTAAAATAAGGATCATTTTCTACTCTATATGCCTAACAGAGGATAGGGCTAATTCCTTCTGGAAGAAAAGTGCATCACTGAGAAAAATAATGAATAACTTAATTATTGGATTAGAGATAAACTTTATAATAGCTATAATGAATATGTAAAAAGATAATAGAAATCATAATGAAAAATTTTATTAAAGAAATAGAATGTATAGAAAAGAATTAATAGAAATTCTAGAACTAAAAAATGATGATATAAATTTTTAAAAACTCCTATAGATGGGTCAATATTGGCAAAAATAACAAAGTAAGAACCTCCAAAAACTCTCCTCTCCATAAAAGCAACAAGAAAAGTGACAAAAATTGAAAAAAAAATCAACTCTTTCAGAACTCTGGAAATTAACCAAAGTCTTGCAGCAATCCAGAGAACATTTACTAAAGAAAAATGGTGCAATCTCAATAAGAACAGTTTTGTGACATTTTAACTTGTACAATTCCCATTCTGTCCTCTCGGGTTCTGCAGTAGACTTGAGAACCAACAAGCTGTAATCATGGTGAAAATCAGCAGCCTGGAGGGAGCAGAACAGAGCTGGGGCTTTTCCAAAACCTTGTGATCAGAGAATTGTCATTATTTTACCTGTCTGGTGGTTTCCTGGAATACCCAATTTGCAAAGTAGTTCTCATTTGACCTGATTGGGAACTTGCCCGGTGCAAAAATCCTTTTCCATGAAAATATTTATTGGAAACAATTAAAGGCAACCGAATTGCCTGAGGCAGTGGATAACAGTTGAGGAAAACAAGAGATTAAATAAAAAGCTTAAAGGGAAAATCTGGGAAATGAGATGTCCAAGGGGCTTTGATTATTTCCATCATATTCCTGGAAATCTAGAAGGCCATGTACATATGTAGGATGGGGTGCATACTTAGGAAAGACCTGAGAAGATTGTAAGCTTTCTTCTTGGACTGGCCTTGGTGCTCTGTACAAGGAGGAAATAAAGGGTAAAGTGGAGTTGTCAACTGTCTGGCTGAGTGTTGAAGGTATCACCAACATGCACACAGAACCTGCTGTGGTTTGAATATGGCTTGTCCTCATCAAAACTTATTTTGAGGCTTGGTTCCCAATCTGGTGGTGTTGGGAGATGGTGCCTTTAAGAGGTGCTTAGGTCATTAAGTTGGATTGGTGTCTTTCTTGAAAGACTGGGTTAGTTATGAAGTTCCCTTGAGAGTGGGTTGTTATAAAGTGAGTTTGCCTCTCTTGTTTTGTCCTGTTCACATATACCTCGTTCTCCTTTTGTTTCTCTGCCATGTTTTGACACAGCACAAGGACCTCAGCAGAAGCCACCAAATCAGCTGTCTAATATTGAACTTTCCAGCCTGCAGAACCATGAGTAAAATAAACCTCTTTTCTTTATAAATTACTTCATCTCAGGTATTCTCTTATAGGAACACAAAACAAAGAAAAAGCTCCCCAGGAAAGACTAGGAGATATGTTTATTCCAGGCATTTTAGGAAACCTTTGTTCAAACATTAGGTGACCACTAAGCTAACTGAGAAAAAATGTAATAGCTACACATAACAAAGAATCAGACTTTGCAAGATTTGTTCAGAAAAGTCACAAAATAAAACAACAACAAACAATGAAAGCAAACCCTAGAAGGGAAAGCGAGGGAAGAATCTCATTATCTGGGTTGCCACATTATATTACACAAAATATCTAGTTTTCAACAAAAATTACAAGACATGCAAAGAAATAATAAAGCATGGCCTGTACATAGGGGGGAAATTAATAAATAAAAAATGTCTCTAAGGAAGCCCAGCATTTAGACTTACTAGACAAAGACATTAAATAAGCATTTAAAATATATTCAAAGAATGGAAGGAAATCATGTTTACTAAAGGCAAGCATATGAATGATGTCTCACCACCCAATAGAGACTACAGCAACAGGAATTATATAAGAAAAGAACCAAATAGAAATTCTGGAGTTGAAAAATACAATAACAGAAATGAAAATTTCACCAGACTGGCTTGACAGCAGATTTGAGCAAGGCAGAAGAAATAATCAACAAAGTTAAATGTAGGTTAATTTTGATTATCCAGTTTGAGGAAGAAGAAGAAAAATGGGAAAAGAAAAATGAACAGATCCTCAGAGACCTGTAGAACACCATCAAGCAGACCAAAATATGTATAACTGTAGTCCTAAAATGAAAAAAAGGGTGCCAGAAAAAATATTTGAAGAAATAATGGCTGAAAACTTTGCAAATTTGATAAAAAATGTTAATCTACATATCTGAGAATCTTAATGAACTATAAGTAGAATAAACTCAAAGAGATCCACACCTACACACATTGTAATCAATCTGTTGAAAGTTGAAGACAAAGATATCTTGAAACCATTAAGAGAGAAATGACTTATCACATTCAAGCAAGAAGATTGACAGATGATCTTTCATTAGAAGCCATGGAGGGTCAGGTGCGGTGACTCATGCCTTTAATCCTAGCACTTTGGGAGGCTGAGGTGGGAGGATTGCTTGAGTGTAGGAGTTCAACACTCCATCCCTATTTAAAAGAAAAAAGTAAAAACATAAAAAAGAGAGACAGAGGAAGATAAAAAGAAAGAGAGAGAGAGAGAAAGAAAGAAAGGAAGAGAAAGAAAGAGAACCATGGAGGCTAGAATGCAATTGAAAGACTTATTCAAAGTGCTGAGGGGAAAAGCTGTCAGCCAAAAACTCTAAATGAAGGAGAAATTAAGACATTTTCAGGTAAAAAGAAACAGAGATTTCATCATTAGCAAGACAGCTGTACTAAAATACTTTCAGGCTGAAGTGAAAGGACACTAGAATATAGTGTAATATAGTCAAATCCATGTAAGGAAATAAAGACACCAAAAAGGTAACTGAAATAGGTGAATATAAAAGACAATATAAATGTACTTTTTAATGACTTTTTCTCCTATTTAATTTAAAACTTCAGCAAACAATATTTATAAATCTGTGTTGATAGGCACACATGTAAGAATGGTATAATTTGTATGACAATAACAGCACGGGGGTAGGGAACAGAGCTGTATAGAAATAAAGTGTTTGTATACTATTGAAATTAAGTTGGTATTAATACAAACTAGATTATTAATATGCTAATTTTAATCTGTAGGGTAGTCACTAAGACAAAAAAGTAGAGGAACTAAAAATGTAGAGTAAAAGAAATGATAAGTGAATTAAAATGATACATAGAAAATGTCTATTTAACACAACAAAAAGCAGTAATAGAGGAATAGAGGAACAAAAAAGATATAAGAAAAATAGAAAATAAACAATGAAATGGCAGACATAAAAATATGTTACAGTAATCACACTAAATATAAATACATTACATTTCAATTTAGACAGGTTAGCAGAATGGATAAAATAAAAATGATGCAACTATATATTCTCTGCTGGAGACAAACCTTAGATACAAAGTTACAAAGAGGTTGAAAGTACAAGGCAGGAAAAGATACACCATGTAAAGAGCAACCAAAAGAAAGCTGGAGTGGCTACACTAATGCCAGACAAAATAGACCTTAATACAAACATACCACTAGAGAAAAGTAAGGACATTTTAATGATAAAAGAGAAAGTTATAGCTGTAAATACCTACATTAAAAAAGAAGAAAAATTGCAAATCAGTAACAACCTTCCACTTTAAGAAATTAGAAAAGAGGCCGGGTGCGGTGGCTCACTCTGTAATCCCAGCACTCTGGGAGGCCAAGGAGGGTGGATTGCTTGAAGTCAGGAGTTTGAGATCAGCCTGGCCAACATGATGTAACCCCATCTCTACTAAACATACAAAAATTAGCCTGGCGTGGTGGCAGGCACCTATAACCCCAGCCACTCGGGAGGCTGAGACAGGAGAATCGTTTGAACCCGGGATGGGGAGGTTGCAGTGTGTGGAGATCAGGCCCCTGCACTCTAGCCTGGGTGACAGAGCAAGACTCCATCTCAAAAAAATAACCCTGTCTCAAACAAACAAATAAACAAACAAAAAAAGAAAAGAAAAGAAAAGAAATTAGAAATGAGTAAGACAAACCAGAACTAGTGAAAGGAATGTTAGAATGGGAATAAATGAACTAGGAAATAGAAAAAGATAGAGAAAATCAACAAAACTAAGTTTTTGCTTTTAAAGAATCAAAACTGAGGAAACTTTAGCTAGATTGAGTAAGAAAAAAAAGAAAGGAATTGAATTACTCAAATCAGGAATAAAAGATGAGACCTTTCTACCACTTTACAGAAATGAAAAACAATATAAGGGAATACTGTGTACAATTGCGTGCCAACAATTAGATAATCTAGATAAAATGGACACATTTTGTGCTGGGCAGGGTGGCACACATCTGTAGTACCAGCTACTAGGGAAGTTGAGGCAGGAGGATTGCCTGAACCCAGGAGTATGGGGTTATCGTGCACTGTAGCCTGGGCAACATAGCAACCTGTCAAAAAAAAAAAAGACAAATTTCTCGAAAAACATAACTACTAAAACAATGAAAAAGAATACAATATTTCAAAGTATTTTATCTTTTATAATGTTCTTTGACAAAAATAGAACAGAGCTAGAGATCAATTACAGAAAGATAACCAAAAAATTTTGAAGAGTTTAGAAATTAAGAAATACAAATTAAAATAATCCATAGATCAAAGAAGATAATCAGAGATTAAATCTAATTATTATCAGATCCCTGACAATAAAAAATTGAAAATATCAGTTGGGTGTGGTGGCTCATGCCTGTAATCCCAGTACTTTGGGAGGCCAAGGCAAGAGGATTGCTTGAGCCTAGGAAGTTCAAAACCAGCCTGGACCACATGATGAGATCCTATCTCTACGAAAAATAAAATATAAGTTAGCTGGTGTGGTGCTGCATGCCTGAGGTCCTAGCTTCTTAGGAGGCTGAGGTGGGAGGATCACTTGAGCCCAGGAGTCCAAGGCTGCAGTGAGATATGACAGCACCACTGCACTCCAGCCAGGGCAACAGAGTGAGACCCTGTCTTGAAAGAAAAGAAAAGGAAAGGAAAGAAAAAGAAAAGAAGGAAGGAAGAAAGAAAATTGAAAATATTGCAAATTATACTTGCATTACAAAATATTATAACATAAGATGAAGCTGAAGTCAGGTCTAGACAAAAATTATATGCAACCTTAAGTGCATATAATTAATTGGAAAGAAAGAAATACTGAAAATCATATACTTAGAAAAAGAATGTCAAATTTAACCCAAGAAAAGTAAAAGTAAGGGAATTATATACATAAAAGAAGAAAATAATTTGATAGGAAATAATAATACAGTAGAAAAACATCAACAACACTAAAGGCTTGTTTCTTTGAAAAGACTAATAGGATTGATAAAATTTTAGCAAGACTGTGGAAGATTTTAAAACAAGACAGAAGGCATGAAATTCCAATATCAGGAATGAAAAAGGTACTGTCATTATGGGTCCTGTAGACATTAAAATTACAATAGAAAATATTATAAATAACTTTATGCTGACAAATTTGAAAAGCTAGATGAAATAGACATATTCTAGAAAACACCACTTACTAAAATGAACTCAAGAAATAATAGAAAAATTTTCATAATCCTGTATCTATTAAAGAAATTGAGTTGGTAATTACAAAACTTTCCACAAAGAAATCTGTAGGCAAAGATGATCTTATTGGGTGAATTCTTCTAAATATTCAGTGAAGGCATTTGCTAACCTTACACAAGCGATTCCAAAAGACGGGGGAATAAAGGAACATTTCTCAACTCATGCAGCAATATGCCAAATCCTCATAAGCATGAAGCAAAAACAAAAACAAAAAAGCAAAAGTAAGGCTCATCTCATTTTTAAACACAGATACAAAACTCCTAAAAGATCTATTAGTCAATTAAATATAACACTAGGTAAAATAATGACCAAGTTGAGTTTATTCTATGAACATAGGGTAAGTTTAATATATGAAAATCAAGCAATGAAAATAGTAACTTATGGTTGAAAAATCTGTCAGTTACCACTAAAATCAAGTAGTCAAAATTAGCATCACAGGGTAAGTTTAATATACGAAAATCAAGCAATGAAAATAGTAACTTTATGGTTGAAAAAATCTGTCAGTTACCACTAAAATCAAGTAGTCAAAATTAGCATCACTGATAACAGAACAAATCAACATCATATGTCTCCTGATTCAATGCACGGAGATACAATATCAACTATGAAGAACTCCTGCCTTTGTCATATCCTCTATGAGCTATTTAGTTCCTTTCCAATAAATGCCTTTTCTGCTTAATTATTCAAGTTTGCATTCTATTGTTTAAAATCAAGAACCTGCATTAGTACAGTAGTAATAGTTATTGAGCACTAATGCTCACAGCAGTGTTTCAACATAGATATTATTTATCCTTATTCTAAGATGAGGCAATAGGTAGTTATAGTTAAGAATATGACCCCAAATCACATACACAATAATAGGTGAAGGAAAGAATAAATTTCAAGTTTACCTGTCTCCAAATTTCATTCTTTTAGACTCTCTAACCCTTCTCCCTTGACCATGCTTGGCATTTTTGACTAAGTGATTTTAGCCAGGAACCTGGTTTACCCAAATACACAGAATCATCAATCTGTCTCCCTCCATACCCTTCCTTGGGATTTAAGGATGTCAGAAGTTAAGGAGAGAAGATAAACATGTGCTTTTACTGTGATGCTCTCTGGGGAAAAGTTATGTGGGGTCCAGATAAAAATCACTGCCTCTCAGAGAACAAAGACATGCTATTCCCAGGGGGCTGCTCATGAGATCTTTTTATAAGGCTCCAAACAGTAAGACTAGATGTAGGGCTAGCTCCCGAGTGATGGAAAAGAATTGGGACAGCTCCCTCCTGGGGGTATCTCTCTCTCTCTGTCTCTCTCTCGACTCCAAACAGCATCACAAGAGAACCTCAAGTTTTGTATTATTTATTCCAGGAACCCCAAAGGGAAGGTGAAAGAAACTTGGGGAGAAAAAAATCTCCCTTGAATGCATGAAAAAACAGGTGTTGGGGTGATGTTGATGTTGAGATAGCCAAGTGCAGGCACCTGACTGCCACCTGGGGATGGGAGCAGGAGGGTGTGCTAGAGACCGTGGATTCAGAGGTTACTAGTGTAGACGTGCAGGGAGCCACAGGCCTGGATGAGTTCTCCAGAGCAGCAGGTGTAGAGTGATAAGAAGAGGGCTGACGACTAACATCAGGTGTGTAGTTTTAGGAGTGAAGAAGAAGAGTATTCAACAGAGGGGACAGGTTTTCATTCCTGCTTTGGCACCTGGAGCAATGGGAAGTGTTTGATTGCCTGTGCTACTTGAACATTCTCCTTCCCCGACAGCTTCCACGGCCTCTTTGTAGACTGTCTCCTTGCTCACCTTCACCTCAGATTGTCCCCTGGATTTGAGGCCCCAGCCATCATGACATGTTCAGGCTTCTGAACAGGGCTGTGAGGAGGGGGGATGGAGGGAAAATATCAGGGAAAGGATTTATCTGAATGCATGTAGAGACTTCAAAGAAGCTCTTTTCCTGGGAAATTCTGGTAACATTTCTCTCTATCCAATAAAAAGTGGGTGAAAGGCAGTGTCACTAGTTTCTGGCAGACTAAGCCCCTGAGAAGGTCCTGCTGCACGGATGTGTGTAACTGAAGCTGTGTGGAGGGAGCTTGTGATCTATACAGAAGTAGCAAGGGCAAGAGGAACAAGAGAGGTTCAAAGGCACCAAGTGCAGAGGCAGTGGGTGGGGAGACCCAGGCATGGAAGCCAGTGTTTCACTGTGAATACTTGGAAAGTCCCTGGCTGGCTCCAAACAGTAGAATATGGCTGGATTCTAGAGTCTGTTGTCAGAATAATGAGAATTAATACGGAAGCTCATTTTCAGACTTATCATTAGTTATGAGATGATGGAGGGTTAAGGAAACCACAGTAAGAGGAAGAGATTCTAAGGCTAGCTTCTTAGGACCCCACCCCATCCCTAAATTTTCAGATGGGAGAGAGAGGAGTGTTATGCATCTCTGTATCATTCTTTTTTGGAGCTGAGAGAGACAGAAAGGAGAGGGGAGGGGAGGGAAGGGGAGGAAGAGATGAAGAGGGAGAGGGGAGGGGAGGGAAGGGGAGGAAGAGATGAAGAGGGAGAGATGGAGAGGGAGAGATGGAGAAGGAGAGAGGGGGAGGGAGGGAGGGGAGGGAGAGGGGGAGAGAGAGAAGAGAAAGGGAGAGAGAGTGGGGAGAGAGGGAGAATAAGTATAAATCATCAATTAATCTGTGGATGTCTGATTGTCCACCTTCTGGATTATTTCAGACACTGAAATTTGTGAATAATGATAAGCAGGGCCTGGATCAGGAGAGCACTTCAAAAGATAAGGACTTGTACATAGGATGTTAAAGCCTGCTAAACAGGTCCTCACAGGCCCACCTTTTACTGCTTCCTCTTGAAATAAGCCTCTTCTGCCCTTCCCACCCTGTCATTACCACTGTCCCCAATACCACAAAGTGGAGGATTGTGGAAATCCCTTAAGAAAAAGAAAAGAAGCTCATTGTCTACATCAGAAATTCTCTGTAACTCCCATCCTCCCACTTCCTCATGCTGCCTGACTGCCTTCCTTATCACTCTACATCAGTTGGATTGTATCAACGTTTGGCCTTTCTTAAACCTCCTACTCTGGTGTCCAGAGGACAGATTTCTGTCCCAGAGCAGATATGAATGTTACAAGGGGAGTGTTTGATAGACAAAGGACCCCATGTTACTTTTGCAGTTGAAACTAGCCTCTGTATAAGGAATTAAAAGACTATGAGAAGAAAGTAATGATGGAGACATTATTCTCCCTATTGTCATGGATCAATGGCATCATCTGGGGATTAGGCCAATGGCTGCTTTGAAGGAATATTTTATAAAGTAGACATTATCAGTGATGAATTTGAGTGTGAGTTGAAATGGAAGTATAGTAAAGTGATAAGACTCCTTGATGAATCAATGTTTGGTGTAAGGAAAGAGGAAGAGAGAGACAAGATAATATGAAAATCTGATGGCTGATAGAGGTGGAGAGCCAACATCACAGCTCAGGGATGAGTATGATGTATCACTGAATTCTCCCTGTTGGCCTGTGACAGCATTTGTGGTTGGAGAAATGAGAAGTGAAAGAAAAACTCACGCCTAGAGGTACCACATTTGTCAAAAATAATAGAAGAGAAAACCATGCCAGACAGTCTTAGAGAAGATAAAAAGTTATCACATGATTTCAGGGCATTAGGAAGTCCCTGCTTTTTCAGCCACTCCCATCTTATAGTTGTGTCTTAAATTTATCCATTAGAGCTGGGCGTGGTGGCTCACGCCTGTAATCCCAGCACTTTCGGAGGCCGAGGCAGGCGGATCACGAGGTCAGGAGATCGAGACCACGGTGAAACCCCGTCTCTACTAAAAATACAAAAAATTAGCCGGGCGCGGTGGCGGGCGCCTATAGTCCCAGCTACTCGAGAGGCTGAGGCAGGAAAATGGCGTGAACCCAGGAGGCGGAGCTTGCAGTGTGCCGAGATCGGGCCACTGCACTCCAGCCTGGGCGACAGAGCGAGACTCTGTCTCAAAAAAAAAAAAAAAAAAAAAAAAAAATATATATATATATATATATATATATATATTCCATTAGAAAGTTGCTCTGGGCGAATGGAATTTGTTCATTGTTATAACTTCTTAAAACACAATATCCCTTGTCTAGATTCAAGACATATATATTTGAGTCCCATGCAAATACGGGACACTATGGGTACAGTAAATGAACGACCATATGGAAGAGTTACAGGAGCTAAGATGAAACATGAATCATTAAAAACTGAGGATAACTGAAGGACCTAAGTCCTACAGGGGGGTCTTTACTCTGAATCCTGCCACTAAGTGCTCAATAAAATCGAGTTAAGTAAGTGAGTAAATGAATGAATGATAAATGAATGAATAAGTATGGATTTTGTTTTCAAAGATAGAAAGGATTCACAAAAGCAGAGATTATGAGGTATGAAAAAGGTTTTTTTCTAAGAATAGACCCTCAAACACTCTTAGATTCTTGCTGTTTTCTGAGTACCCCAATGTCAACTGTCTATTCCAGAAGTAAACCCTCAAGTATATGGTCAAATGATCTTCCACCAGGGTGCCAAGAGTATACAATGGGGAAAGGTCAATCTCTTCGACAAATTGCGTTGGGAAAACTGGATATCCACATGGAAAATAATGAAGTTGGATTCTTACCTGACACCATATGCAAATACAAAAATTAACTCAAAATGGATAAAAGACCTAAATGTAAGAGCTAAAAGTATCAAACTCCTAGAAGTTCTATCAAACATAGAAGAAAACTTTATGACATTAAATTTTGCAACAATTTATTGGATATGACCAAAAACAGGCAACAAAAAATACACAAATCCAACTTCATCAAACTTAAACATTTCTGCACATCAATGAAAACAATCAACAGAGTGAAAAACAATATGAAATAAGATATTTGCAAATTATCTTTTCAGTAAGAAGTTAATATCCAGAATATATAAGGAGCTTCTACAACTCAACAGCAGCAACAATGACAAATAGCCTGTAAACATCCTCAGCAAAATACTAGCAAAATGAATGCAACAGCACATTAAAAGGGTCTTTTATCATGATCATGTGGGTTTTATTCCAAGGATGCAAGATGTTTCAACATACTCAAATCTAAAAATGTGACATACCACTTTAACAGAATGAAGAATACTAACCATATTAATATCTCAATAGACTCTGAAAAAGCATTTGACAAAATTCAACATCCTTTCGTGATTTAAAAAAAAAACTCTCAACTAATAAGGAATGCACCTCAACACAATGAAGGTCATATATGACAAACTCATAGCTAATATCATTCTCAATGGTGAAAAGTTGAAATTTTTTTCCTCTAAGACCAGGAACAAGACAAGGAGGTCCACTCTAACCATTTCTATTCAACATAGTACTGAAGTTCTAGCCAGCAATTAGGCAAGAGTAAGAAATAAAAATCATCCAAATTGGAAAGGAAAAATGTAAATTGTCACTGTTTGTAGATGACATGATTATATAAATAGAAAACCATAATAACTCCACTTAAAAACTATGAAGTAATAAAGAAATCTAGTTGCAACAGAATACAGATTGTACTGAAAAAAAAATAAAGGAATCTTGTAAAGTTGCAGGATACAAAAATCAACATACAAAAATCAGTAGCATCACACTAACAAAGAACTATCTGAAAATGAAACCAATAAAACAATCTCATTTACAATAGCTAAAAATAAGTAAATAAGTGAAATAATACATTTAACAAAGGAGGTGAAAGACCTATACGCTTAAAACTATAAAACACTGATGAAGGAAATTGAAGAAGTCACAAACAAATGGAAAGATATCCTGTGTTTATAGATTATAAGAATCAATATTGTTAAAATGTCTGTACTACCCAAAGTGATCTGCAGATTTGATGCAATCCCTATCAAAATTTCCTTACATTTTTCACAGAAACAGAAAAAAAAATCCTTAAATTCATATGGAACCACAAAAGACCTTGAATAGCCAAAGCAATTGTGAGCAAAAAGAACAAAACTGGAGGCATCATACTATCTGATTTCAAAATATACTAATATACTACAAAGCCATAGTAATCAAAACAACATGGTACTGACATAAAAACAGATGCATTGACAAAATAGTCCAGAAACAAATCCACACATTCATGGTCAATTGATTTTCAACAAAGGTGCCAAGAACCAACAATGGGTAAAGCATAGTCTCTTCAATAAATGGTATTGGGACAACTGAATATCCACATGTAGAAGAATGAAACTAGACTGTCATCTCACACCATATGCAAAAATCAACTCAGAATAAAGGCTTACACATAAGACCTGAAACTGTAAAACTACTAGAAGAAAACATAGAAGAAAAGCTCCATGACATTAGTTTGGGCAATAATTTTTTGATATAATTCCAAAAGCACAGGCAACAAAAGCAAAAATAGACAAATGGGATTATATAAAACTAAAAACCTTGTTTTTCTTACAGCCAAAGAAACAATCAATAGAGTGAAGAGACAACATATGGAATGGGACAAAACATTTGCAAACCATATGCTTGATAAGGGGTATAGGAATCCAAACAACTCAATAGCAAGAAAACAGCCTGATTTTAAAATGAGCAAAGGATTTGAAAAGACATTTCTCAAAAGTTGACATACAAATGGCCAACAGGCATATGAAAAAAATGCTCGACATAGCTAATCAGAGAAATGAAAATTAAAACCACAGTGAGATACCATCTCACAACTGTTAGAATGACTATTGCCAAAGGCAGGTAACAAGTGCTGGCAAGGGTGTGGAGAAAAGGGAACTCTTGTACACTGTTGGTGGGAATGTAAATTATATAGTCATTATGGAAAACAGTATGGAGGCTCCTTAAAAAATTAAAAATAGAACTACCATGTGATCCAGCAATCTCATTTCTGAGCATACACCCAAAGGAAATGAAATCAGCACTTCATAGAGATACTTATGCTCCATGTTCATTGCAACATTGTTCACAATAGCTAAGATATGGAAACAACCTAAGTGTGTATCAACAGATAAATGGATAATGAAAATGTGGTATATACACACAATGGCATACTATTGAGCCTTAAAAAAGAGTAAGATCCTGTCACTCACAACAAAAATGGATGAACTTGAAGAACATTATGTTAAGTGGATATGCCACAGAAAGACAAATACCACATAATCTCATTTATATGTGAATCCAAAAAAGTTGAACTAATAAAAATAGTGAATAGAATGGTGGTTATTAGGAGCTGAAAATGCTGCTGGTTGGAAAGATGTTTGTCCCAGGTTACAAAATTTCAGCCAAATAGGAGGAATATGTTCAAGAGGCCTAGTGTACAATGTGGTGAATATAATTAATAACAATGCATTGTATTCTTGCAAATTGCTAAGAGAGTAGGTTTTAAGTGTTCTCACCATAGAAGTATATAATGCATATATTAATTAGGTCAATTTAACCATTCCACAATGCATACATATTTTAAACATCACGTTGTACATGATAGGTATATATGATTTTTCTTTGTCAATTAAAAAAGCAAATAACCTGGTTTAAAAATGGGCAAAGGACTTGAACAGATAATTCTTCAAATAATATATACAAATAGCCAACAAGTGTATGAAAATATGTGTAACACCATTAATTATTCGAGAAACATGAATCAAAACCACAATGAGATAGATATTATCTCACAGCCATTAAGGTGGCCACTACAAAACCAACCCAACAAAAAAAATAACAAGTGTTAGCGAGGATGTCAAGAACTGGAATCCTGGTGCACTGTTGGTAGGAATGTAAATGGTGCAGCCACCATGGAAAACAGTATGAGATTTCCTAAAAAGTTTACAAATAAAATTATCACATGATTCAGCAATTCCATGTCTAGATACATACCCAAAGGAAACAAAATCAGCATTTAATAAAGATATTTCTGCTTTCATGTACATTGCAGCATTATTTACAATAGACAATGGGTGTAAACAACCGAAAAGTTTATTGACAGATAAATGAATAAAGAAAATGTGGTGTGTATATATATATATATATATATATATATATGTATATGCAGTGGAATATTATTCAGCCTTAAAAAAAGAAGAAATCCTCTTACATGGTACAACATGGATGAACATTATGGTAAGTGGAATAAGCCAGTCACAAAAAGATAAATACTGTATGATTACACTTATAAGAGATATCTAAAGTCAAAATAATAGAAACAGAGTGGGGGTTTCCAGGAGCTGGGAAGAGCGGGAAATAGGGAGTTGTTCCCTGAGGATAAAGTTTCATTTTGCATATAAAAAAGTTCTAGAGTTGTCACACAACAATGTGAATATTATTTACCCAACTGAGCTATACACATAAAAGGGTTAAGAGGATAAATCAGATATGGATGAGACTCAAGGTATGATTCATTGTGAGGCAAATTGCTCTCCAGCTGTGAAATCGAATATGCTATTTGCTTCCAAAATATAATGATGGGACAGGCATAGGATAGAAATTCTTATTCCAAAAGGAAGAAAAGGGAGAGAAGAAAAGTGTACCAGGTCCTGAGCAAGTCAAGTTTCCAGAATAATCTTTTTGAATCAAGGTTCTGCCCTCCAGGCACACTGGGGAGGTGGCCTCTGCCTCATGGCTTTGTGCAGCCCTGCCCTCATAGTTGCTCCCTTTGGTGGCCCTACCTCTGAGGCAGCTGGGTGCCCGAGGCTCTCCCAGGCTGAAATTGTATACCAGTGGTTCAATTGGTCTAGGGCCTCAGGGGTGGCCTTACCCTACTGCTTCACTGGGCATTGCGCAGTGCAGTCTCTCCATGGTGGCCCTGCACATGGTGGCTTTCTGCCTACGCACTGTGGCTTTCCAGAGCATCCTTTGAAATCTAGGTGGAGGTTACCATGCCCGCACAGCTTTTCAGAGCACAGCACTCACTAAACCAGGATCTGTTGGAGCCATACCTGGGGTAGCCTAGGAGCCCTGTGATGGAATGTGGAGAGCAGAGCCTCAAGGTGGCCCATGATAGTGAGTGCTGAAGCCCCACAAGTACCTGCAGCCCCTCCTTTGAAATCATTCTGTCCCTCATGCCCTTGTATTCCGCACCTCGGATAGGAGTGGCAGCCCTGATCTGAAATGTCTTTGGGTCATTCTTTCATTGCCTTGATGAATAGCACCCAGATTCCACTGAGATGGTTGATCCATACTAATTTCCTCATCCGATGGTTACATAGACACACCACTGGTGTTCTGTCCTGAACATGATTTCTTAGTTTTCACAATATGGATAGGCTAAGAATTTTCTTAATCTTTAAGTTCTGCTTCCTTTTGAATTAAAATTCTATCTGGTGCCATCCCCTGATCTCAGCGGCAGGGGCTGACAAACTTGAATCCAGAGGGTGAACTAGAGGAGGTGGGGGGCATCTTCCCTCCTGCCCTGGTGAAGAGTTGCAGCAAGCTCCCCGCGCCTCTCCTCCCTGATCCACCGGCCACCGCAGCCCATGTGATCCAGGGAAGTTGGGGTGCCCCCTCACCCCGCACCTGGGTGGCCTGGACGCGGGGTCCCCTCAGCCCCTCAGGGTTCCAGCGCCACTTGTGTAGGTCCATCTGCAGTGGGCCACGTGTGCACATCGGGCAGGGGGACCACACCAGCATCTAGTTTTCAGTGGAAACTTATTGAGTAAGGAAGAGCTAAAGGTAAGTGAGAAAGGGTGATTAGTTAGCCAGGGCCACCATAACAAGATACCACAGGCTGGGTGGCTTAAACTTAAACTTATTTTCTCAGAGTCTGGAAGTCCAAGATCAAGTTGCCAGCAAGGTAGGTTCCATTCTGAGGCCTCTCTTGCTGGCCTGGAGATGACTGCCTTCTCACTGTGTCCTCACAGGGCCTCTGTGCATTTGCTCTCCTGGTGTCTCTTCCTCTTCTTATAAGGACACCAGTCCTTATAAGGGGCCTTAGGGCCCCACCTGGATAACCTCGTTTCACCTTAATTACCTATTTAAAGGCCCTGTCTCCAAAGCATTCACATTAGGTGTTAAGGTTTCAACATAGGAATTTCGAGTTGTGGGGAGGGATAAAATTCAGTCCTTAACAGAGGTATAGCTCCTGGAATAATTAAACTTGCAAACAATAGTAACTGCACTTTAGGGCAGGAGCATGACCCTAAGCCAGGGTTTCTCAACCTGGCACCATTGCCATTTAGGGCTGAATAATTCTTTGTGCTGGGGGCTGTCCTACGCATTCCAAGATGTTTAGCAACATCCAACATCCCTGGGCTACACCCACCAGATATCAATAGTGCTCCCCTCTCCTAGTGTGAGAACAAAAATGTTTACAGACATTGGCAAATATCCCCTGTGAGGCAAAATCACTCCTGGTGGATATTGCTGTAAGCATAGGGTTTCTCTCTTTCATCAGGGACAAAGTGTAGAAGGACAGATTTCCTCCACAGAAGCTTCATAAGTTTAAATAGGCCATAAATATCCTTGAGCTCTCTTAGCAGTCCTTCAAGTTTCTGTCACCCTTGTGTGTGTGTGAGTAGATTATATATATATATGTACATGTTTTGAGAATTTACACATTTCACTTTTGGGACTAACAGGTTCCCATAGGTTTGTTAGCCTTGGTATGAGAGAGTCTGCTTTTCTACTTATGTTAAACTTACCATCTTCAAAGTTTAAAAGACTCTCCCTGTTGTGTATTTCAGGATTTGGTGAACACGATTAATGTAGTCTGACTTTTTCCAAGATTATAGACTTGCACCATATATGCTGTCTACAGTGGACATCTTTTATTCCTCTCATAGTGACCACCCCATTCCCTAAATTGTTTCCGTTGTTTCTAAAGTTTTGTCATCTCCCTATGTCTTCTCCAAAACTCAGGACCAGTGGTGGAAGGCACTGTAGGAGCAGTGGGCACACTCCCAGGGGCTGAGCCTGGATGGATAGGGTCAGGAAGGAGGATGGACTTGGAAGGTCACACCAGAGGCACCAGATGATGTGACAGATGAAAAGGCACATTAAAAAGTAATACGTACGTTACAAATGCAACTCCTTTTGTGATAATTATTGTATCGAATTGGGCATTTCTGAGCTTACCCTGTTGTTCTCCAAAGCAGTTGGCTAAGGCTGTTCTTATTTTTTCTTTAACCTTCCTGCCACCCTCAGATCGAATTTATTTGCTACACTAGTGCCAGGTTAATAATCCTAGAACACAACCATGATCATCTCACTTCCTCCTCAAAAACCATCACTGTCTCTCCACTGCCTGCAAAGTCCCACATCCTGAGCCTGGCATTGCAGTTGTCTACAGTCTTTCCTCAGCCTGACCTCCCTCTGTGTCCTTACAAACACGCTGTGCTCCAGACAGACTGGACTTTGACATGACATATAAAAAATGTTTTCACATTTTCCCCTTTACACCTTTCAAACCATTTATGGTGCTAGTATGATTCCCTCCTCAATCCCAGAGCTCTCTATTTTGAGGCAGAAAACAAGAGGCCCAGAATCAATTAGCATCAGTTTCCTGCCTTCACTTTCCTATGGCACTAAGTCAAGTCAGATTGGCAAAGCCTTTATAGCTGGTCCCAGCCTGACTCTCTGCCCAAACCTACTTACTAAATCCTCTGGAAATGAGGGCAGTCCCACTCCGGGTTGGCCTCATGAAGACATCTCAGTCCCATCAAACCTCCCCTTGGCTTTGAGACTAATCCACGCTGGCCGTGTATACAGTTTTTCTCTAGAATCCGTGTGTGTTTATCCCCTGAAGTTCTATCATGTCCTTGGATTATCACCACACCATTGATGCTGCTTCTGTCTCAAAGGACACTTTGGACTCTGCCTGTCCTTGCCATCGCCTGTCTGGGCAGTAGTCTGCTTAACTCTAAGCCCCAAAGTCCTCCCTTCCCTCCTTGACTAAGTTTCTCAGATTTGTACAGTTTGGTGGCAACAATGCTTCCTACTCAGTTGCTAAGACAGGAGTGACCCTTTGGTGTGGTCTCTGAGATTCTCTAGGGACCTCACAGCCTGGATGGCCTCCTGGGAGCTTGCCTGGCCTTACACTGAGCTGCAAACCATGAGAGGAAAGCTATTTAGCCCCTCCAATTAAAGAGATTGCCTCTAAGTCCCCTACAGAGTTCCTCTTTCCTCGTGTCTGAGGGTCTCCTCTGGGTCATGTGTCTTTTGCAGAAGACTAGCAGTGAATTGCCATGGGATTGATAACAGAGCCCTCTGGGCTCAGTGGCC
>NT_167244.2:3816276-3840450 GCF_000001405.40 Homo sapiens | reverse complement strand
GGCCATTGCTCCCGCAGTCGTTCCTGCCACCACTGCTTGCAACTTCCCACTGCAGTCGGCCACTCTGGACAGCTCACCACTGCCAGCATCACCACCCTTTTATCCTAAAATACTAAGCTGAACCTTAGCCAGATTTCCTAGATTACCATCATCTCAATTAGTTTCTTTTTTCACAGTTTGTTCCTTCTTTTCTTTTCTTTTTTTTCTTTCTTTCTTTTCCTTTTTTTTTCTTTCTTTCTTTTCCTTTTTTTTTTTTTTTTCTTTACAGGGTTTGCCATCTGCCACCCAGGCTGGAATGCAGTGGCATGATCTTGGATCACTGCAGCGTGGACCTTCCAGGTTCAAGCAATCCACCCACCTCCCGAGTAGCTGGGATTAAATTAGCTTCTAAGTAAATTATTATTTTCTGTTGACCAAATTAAATGTGATATTCTGGTTGCAATTTCACAAATTCCCATAGTATTGAATTATTATTGTGGTATAGAGACATAGTTTATTCTCAAATCCAGGGACAGTAGTGACTTTTTCCCATGAAATTTTGAACTTTTTATATTAATAGAAGTATGTTTTTCCAAAGTAAGTGAGGCACTTTTTTTCTTCTATTTTGAGATGATCAAATTTACTACTTTATGATGAGAAATCTGCAATAATAATTCTGAGCAATAGTTTATATTTGGGAATTTTGAGGTCACTGTTACCTTTAATAAGAAGGAGACTTCTCAGGAGCTATGGGTGTCATCACATAAGATAAATGCAAATGTTGCCATTTCCAGAGGAGGGTAAGGATGATAATGAGGTGATTCTTTTGAAGGAACTAGAATTGCTACACAGTATCTTCCTCAAATTGTATACTGCTGCCATTCATTAACATAAGTAGCCATATTGCTATGTGCATCCATAAATTATAGGAATATAAATAATTTTAATACATAGGACATTATTCTCAGAAATAGGATGTGAAGGATTATGATATAGTGGCTGAGCCTGAGGGATATATAATTTGGTTCAATCTATAGTGTACCATTTACTAGCTTTGTATCTTTGCAAAAGTTGTTTCATCTCCATTGTTTTATTCTCTCTACCTGTAAGCATGAAAAGGGTATTTATTTTAGTGAGTTGATGTGAGAATGAAATAAAAATATGAAGTATAAAAAGCACTTAGTGCAACTCTGAGTATAAAGTAAAATGCTCATTTTTACGGCAGCATGATGAGAATCCTGCCCCTGGAAACACTAAGGCCTATAAGGAATGAGTGCCTATGTGGTAGCATGTGAATTAATGCAGAACGCTATAAGTATAGTTGTACTTTGAAGTCCATTCTGAATCTTAGATGTTACATTTATATTAATAAAAAGCATAATAATTATCTAAATGTATATAATATGTTTAATATTATATGGTTACATCAACTGATGTAATTCATAGTTTTCCCTAGTGTTCTCTTTCCTGAACATTCTAAAATGTATTAGTTAGCAAAGTCGTCTTATAGCCTCCCTTATGATAAAACAAGAGAAACATAATAGTAAAGTGCTATAGCCTCAATCAAATGAGGAAATCATAATGGGAACCAGGAATGAGGGACTGAACACTCTTCATATAAAATATTCATTATTTTAAAACAGAATTGTGACCAGGCATGATGGCTCACGCCAGTAACCCCAGCAGTTTGGGGTTACACTGCTGGTGTAGAACACGAAGTCAGGAGATCGAGACCATCCTGGCTAACACGGTGAAACCCCATCTCCACTAAAAATACAAAAAATTAGCCAAGCGTGGAGGCACGTGCCTGTAGTCAGAGTTACTCGGGAGGCTGTGGCAGGAGAATTGTTTGAACCGAGGAGGCGGAGGTTGCAGTGAGCCAAGATCATGCCACTGCACTCCAGCCAGGGCAACAGAGCAAGGCTCTGTCTCAAAAAAGAAGAAAAAAAAAAAGAGTTGTTCTGTGAACGGCTGACTTTGAGAGTCTTTGATCGATCTCTCAGACCCATTAATACCTGGATTGCACACTTGACCTTATCACATTGTTAGGGTAAGTGCTGTACAAAGGCACCTTCAGACCCTCCATTGCACATAGGTGGCCCCTGTTAGCCCATTCCTGTGTGTGTTCTGGAGGTGCCGCTAAACCTGGGGGCAGCATCAGGAGACACGCTTGAAAAAGATATTTTTACTCAGATTAAATTATTAACAGACTTTCAATTTCCTTTAACTTATTAAAGACATCACTACCTGGAAATAGGTACAGATTACACTCTCTAGTCAATAGCTGTCATTCTGTCATATTACCAGATACCTGGGGCTGCCGCTCCTTGAGGCGTCTAGAGAATCACAGAATTTTCCAGTATTGAAAGACCTGAAAGATCGCAGTGCCTTCATTTCAACTGTGAGACATGAAGTAATTTTCCCAAATCTGTGACATTAAGATATGGTACAATAAAGACAAGATTAAAGGACTCCGGATTTACAACCATGTTCCCTCCGTCTCCTTTACTCTTAAACACACTCACACACTCACTTCTGCAAACAGTTGTCTTGTCAAGTGGGAAATGAATGCTCTTACAAGGCTCAAACTTGTGAACACATCACTGACCAGCACAGAGCTGGCTCACAATAGCTCCCCAATTAAAGTGTTTTACATGCAACTGGTTCAAACCTTTCAAGTACTAAATTAAAACATTCCTTTAAAGAATGAAATTATTTCAGAAGAGGACCTTCATACAGCATCTCTGAGCAGCAACTGATGATGCTGTTGAACTCAGATGCTGATTGGTTCTCCGACACGAGATTACCCAATCCAGGAGCAAGGAAATCAGTAACTTCCTCCCTATAATTTGGAATGTGGGTGGAGGGGGGTCATAGTTCTCCCTGAGTGAGACTTGCCTGCTCCTCTGGCCCCTGGTCCTGTCCTCTTCTCCAGCATGGTGTGTCTGAAGCTCCCTGGAGGCTCCAGCTTGGCAGCGTTGACAGTGACACTGATGGTGCTGAGCTCCCGACTGGCTTTCGCTGGGGACACCCGACGTAAGAGCACATTGTGGGTGCTGAGCTACTATGGGGTGGGGGAATATAGGGAGTTGTGTTAACATTGTGCCCAGGCCATGTCCCTTAAGAAATTGTGAGGTTTTCTTCAGAGATTGCTCATCTTTATCAAGGGATCGCAAATTATTTCCTCCACAAAAGGAACTTGGCTACTTGCCCTCTCCATGAGACTTGTGTAAGGGGCCTTTGTACAGGCCATTTCTTCTCAAATCTCCACCAATAAAACCTTTGCATCACATGTCCTCAGGGTCTTTAGAGGATTTGGAAATAAGGATGCTAAAATAAATTCCCCAAACAGCAATTCCCTTTATTATGTTGACTTATGTCAGACAAAAGGAGGTTTTTACTGAAAATTTTGTGGGAGTCAAGGGAATTCAATGGGTCTCTCCTAGACGATCCTGGGTTATGTCCTCCACAGGACCTGTGGTGTTGGCCCCTCTTCCTCATATGTGAGGATGGACCCAGTGGCCTCCCTAGTATCTCCTTTCTTTTCTTTCTGAACTCCAATGTTTATAAAGCCTGTATCCCTGTAGTGTATGTAGGTTGTCTGACAGAAGTTATACTTAGTGCTCTTTCTTTCTTATGGGGAAAAATCCCTGGAACTGAAGCTGAGATCATTAGTACTTGGAATCACCTTACAGATACAGAGCATTTATGAGGTATTCTTTGGTGCCTAAAGAACTTAAGGCATCCTCTGAAAAACTGGCCCAGGTTAGTGTTTATTATGAATCTTTTTAACCTTTCTATACTTGTTTCTCCTACATCTCCTACATGCTCTAACTAGACATGACAGAAGAGATTTAACTAATGTAGTATAAATTATATGAAATTCTATTTTTGTAAGTCAAAAATAATCAAATATCAGAAATTTAATAATGTTCAAACTATATACTGTGTGGGGTTACCGAGACAATGTGGACATTGTTCACATCTCATAGGGCTGAAAGTCAATGGGCAAGTCCTGGAAACTCATTGTCTTACTGCGGTCTTGTCCTCAGTTTCATAGGTTCACCCATCATGCCCTCAGCTTTCCTTAATTAGCCATGTCTGCTTACCTCTTCCTCCCATTTCTCTCTATTTTTCCCCAACTATGTTGTCATCATTTCCAGAAATCTCTAAAGCTTGCACAGATCCTTAGCACTATGAGATCCATTGAAAGAGATAATATTTTTCTCTTTGAGATAGGGCCTGCCTCTGTCACCCAGGCTGTAGCTCAGTGGTGTGATCGAGGCTCACTGCAACCTCTGCCTCCCATGCTCAAGCAATCCTCCCTCCTCAGGCTCCAGAGTAGCTGAGAATACAGGCAGGCAACCACGCCCAGCTAATTTTTGCAATTTTGGTAGAGAGGAGATTTTGCCATATTGCCCAGGCTGGTCTTAAACTGCTGAACTCAAGCAATCCTCCTGCCTTAGCCTCCCAACATGCTAGGATTATAGATGTGAGCCACTGTGCCCAGGCAAAAGAGATGACTCTTAATAAAAAGATTTCCTTTTTCTTAAATCACTGTTTCTTTATCCGTGAATTCTTCTTCCAACTAGAAGGAGGAGAAAGAAGTTTGCCTGTATTTATCACCGGGAGGAGAAGGGGTCTAGTGTGACATCAAAATGAAAGAGTGCTGGAACTTGAGCCCCTTCTTGCTTTCCAGGATCCCCACAGTGATCAGTTCCCATACCCTGGTTTATTCATGTAAACCACACTTATTTTTCTCAGCAGCTACTGTGTACTGGGCTCCATTCTAGGTTCAAATCATTCTATTTGATTAAGATAGAGAGGGTCCCGACTCTCAAGGAAGTTACAAGAGTAGAGGAGACAGACACTAACCCAATAAGCATTTAACAAAGAAGATAATGTTAGAGAGTCATAGTGCACTGAAGAAAAGACATCAGATGTGTGTTGAAAGAGAGAAATGGATTCACCTACTTTAGTTTGTATGTTTAGGGAGCTCTACCTGAGAAAGTGATATTCAGCTGAGACAACAAAATAAGTAGACAGTCATAAAGATCTAACGGACGAAAGATTCAGGGAGACCGAATCGAGGGAAAGCACTGGTGTGGGAAATTATGTGGAGGGAGAGAAAGAAGGCTAGAAGGGCTGAGGTATAGAAAGCAAGGAAATGGAGAGGCAGAAGATGAGGTAGGACAAGGAGAGGAAATCAGGAGCCTCATCATTATAGGCTCTGATGTCCACGGTAAAAAATTTGAATTTTATTTTATTTTTATTTATTTTTAAATTTTATTTATTTATTTATTTTGAGATGGAGTTTCATTCTTGTTGCCCAGGCTGGCATGCCATGGCGCAATCTCTGCTCACTGCAACCTCCACCTCCTGGGTTCAAGTGATTCTCCTGCCTCAGCTTCCCAAGTAACTGGGATTACAGGCACTCACCACCATACCTGGCTAATTTTTTTGTATTTTTAGTATAGATGGGGTATCACCATGTTGACCAGGTTGATCTTGAACTCCTGACCTCAGATAATCTGTCTGCCTTGGCCTCCCAAAGTGCTGGGATTACAGGCGTGAGCCACCACGCCCGGACTGAATTTTATTTAAATAGATATGAGAAGCTGCTGTATGGTTACAAGGAGAGTCAATTTATATTCAACTTTTGTGTGTGTGTGTGATGGAGTCTCACTCTGTTGCCCAGGCTCGATTGCAGTGGCACAATCTCGGCTCACTGCAACCTCCGCCTCCCGGGTTCAAGAAATTATCCTGCCTCAGCCTCCTGAGTAGCTGGGACCACAGGTGCATGCCACCACAGTCGGCTACTTTTTGTATTTTTAGTAGGGATGGGGTTTCACCATGTTAGCCAAGATGGGCTCGATCTCCTGACCTTGTGATCCACCCGCCTCGGCCTCCCAAAGTGCTGGGATTACAGGCATGAGCCACTGCGCCCAGCTTATATTCAATTATTACAATTAATTCTAGCTACTTTGTGGGGATTGGATTGTTGGGGTTCACAAGTGGTTAGGAAGACTATTTAGGAGCACAGCAGGGAATTCTCCAGGGAAAACAGGCTTGTGGCTTCATGGAGTGCATTAGTGATAAAGACGGTGAAAAAGATAAAGTGGACAGACTTCGCATGTATTTTTGCTTAGCTTGTTAATGAATTACTGTAAAGGGGGTGGAACAATCAAGTTTATTCCTGAGGATTTTGTTTTGACAAATAAGTGGGTGGTAGTTTTGTTTATTGAGATAGGAAAAACTATGGGAGGAAATGATTTGAAGTGGGTGGTTGGAAATAAAAGTTTTGTTTAAATTTGAGATGATTTATTGACATTTATGTAGAGCAATCAGAAGGTCAGTGGCATTTAAGAGACTCATGGTGAGGCTAGGGCTTCAGATATTTATGTTGGCAGCATCAATACGTGTAGTGTGTTAAATTCTAGGGAGTGGAAGAGGATACATAGGGAGATGGATTGTGTGGAGAAAAAAGAAGAGGGCACAGGCCAGCAAAGGCAGCTGAGACAGAGCCCAGGGATGTTGGAGAAAAACCAAGAGAACATAATGAGTGTAAGTCAAGGAAAATAGATTTTTTTCAAGGAGAAGGGAGAGGCCAATTGTGGTGAGTACCACTAAGCGGAGGGGGAAGTGAGAACTTGACAGAGAAGCAAGTGCTGGGTTTGCTGGAGTTGATATTTGCAGTCAATGGAGTATCCAGGGAGGAAACTGGATTGGACCATTTGAAGAGCGAGTAGAAGTGAGGACGAGGTTAAGGTTGACTGTTTTGAGTAGAACTTCCGGAAGGACTGTGCTCTGGGTTCAGGAAGCCCGCTGAATCTAAAGGAAAAGGCTAAAGAAGCTAAAGAGACAGAGGAGGACCTGTGAACAAGAGATGCTCAGTCATTAGCAAGGAAATACTGGAGATCCCCTGTGTGCAGTGGTGACTACTCATGCAAAAGGTCACACAGCCAATATTTATTAGTGACATAGAATATACCAGTTATTACTCTAGGTCATGAGAATGGTGATAAATAAAATGAATCCGCTCGCCATCAGTATATGCCATGTAACAGTTTGCAGTGACTGTGTACCAGGCCTGTGAATTTCTGTATGCAATTTCAATAATGATCCTGCTGTATCTGTGGTATTTAAAAACATATACATCTCTGGAATCTAAAATTGAGGGATTATAAGTAAAACCCAGTATTAGAAATTTAGTGCTGGAAATCAGATTGCAGTTTAAATCTGAGCATATAGAAAGTCCCTTTCTTCTATGTCAGCAGATGCCTTTTATGTGAGGCTTAGGTATACTACATTATTAGACATAAACCAGTGTTTCTGCCCTATGTTTTCAGAATGACAATTCTTTATGAAACTCATAGAAGAACAGAAGACAATTGCAAAATCATGATGAAGATACTAATTGCTTTAGAATTAAGGAATACAAAAAATAATGTGAGTTACAGTTATAGGGATCATAAAAGTGAAAATGGGAATGTATTTGAGTGTTTATTATGTGATCAGTGCTAAGAAGAGTCATCATTTAATTTGACACTTAACAGTAATCCTGTGAGGATTATGCTATTATTAAATGCATTTGATAGATTACAAAAAGGCTTACTGTTGGCAAAAATTGACCCAAGTAGAAGAGGTCACCTTTTTATTCAGATTTTCTGATTGTAGAGTTTGAGAGTTTTTCCATCATTAGGGAGTAGTGACTATATTGTGTCTGAATTATTGACAGAATTTCTGATATTCATATATACCAGGTTGTTTCTTTGAGTGGGGACAGAGATGCAAGGGCTGCTAGTTCCAATGTACAGGAGAAACTTTTAATCATTTTGCATTTATCATTTTAAAAGTTCAGTATGTCTATAATGGTCATGTGTTGACAAACACAAGGAAGTATTAAATCACTCCTCCTTCTGAGGTTTGACTAGCAAATTGGGCAAGAGTTACCAAATAAAATACATGTTCCTAGTTAAATCTGAATTTCAGATACACGACCATAATTTATTGGAAATCCAAATTTAATTGGGCACCCTCTGGTTTTATTTGCCAAATCTGTCAACTCTAAGTGAGACACATGGACATGGATTACAGTGCTACCCATGCAAGCCACAGTGACAGCAACTTCACACATGTTTACATTTTAACTTTCTCTCTGTAAGAAAGTGCTTAGATAATTTGGTGATAAAAAGATAGCCATTGTTTGATCCAGGGTGGACACCTCTCTGCCATCGTTTCTAAAGGGCAAACGGAGATTTCTGCAGGTCTTGCTCACAGTCTGGGGACCTGCTCATGTTTTGAAACTGTCTGTATCAGAATGTCATTTTCTTGGTTTCTCCCTTTCTGAGGGGACTTGACTACAAAACCAAGAGTTCTGCCTCTGGCCAAGGCTGGAAATGTGATGCCTGCTAGTATTGTTGGGAGTGGGAGACTGAGAGAAATGAGTTAGTTGGGGCATTTAACGGGAATAAAATAGCTGTGGTTGTGATTCATTACTATAGATAATTAGTGGACCAGTGGCGGAGAAATTAAGAAAAAAGATGATGTGAACGATAAATGATATGATTAGTGACTGCTTGGTAAGGCAAGGAAATCATTAAATCTTGGTTCTCATCAAGTTCATTTTCTGAAAAGATAGCACTGCATTGGGACCAGAATTCTACAAAACATTCTTTTTACATAGGACCAAGATTTTCAAGAAATATTTTTCAATACAATTCTCAGCTGCTCCATAACTAATAGTAGCTTGTTCAACACAGATTTTTTTAGATGGTTCACACCTGTGGTTCTTACCCAGGGATAGTTCACCACCCCTCCCTTCCCTCCCATCATCCTTGGGGAACAGTGACAATGTTTGGAAAAATTTTTGGTTGTCACAACAGGGGTTTCTTCTGATATTTAATGAGTAGAAGCCAGGAACACTGCTAGAGAACCTACAATGTTCAGAACAGCCTCCGCCATCAACAAAGAATTATCTGGTCCAAAATGTCAATAGTGCTGAGGCTGAGAGCACTGCTTCACGCTGTGCTCTTTCTGAAAATTCTACACTCACATCTGTTATACACTCACCACACAGTTCAGTTTTTCATAGTTTATTTTTGCTTCTTCCATTATAAAAAATTAGACAGTTGCATAAATTTAACCACTTTCTTGTTGAATCCATTTAGTCAATGCAAGCTCAGTATTTTCATATTTAGTTTTTGCCTTATGCAATATTTTTCAACATTTTCATGAGTTGTTGGTCATCACCATCTCTATTAACTTTCAACAACTTGCTCTTGTAAGTCACAAATAGTGATGCTGCTGAAATTATTTCTCACTAACATGCCTCAGATTTCTGTAGTGATTCTACATTTTATATTATTCACAATGTAAAATGCTTCTATGTACTCATTTCACTTTTACCCAAGGATTATTTTTAAGTTATTTTTGTCATTTACACACTTCAAACATAAAGACAAAAACATCAAAAATATATACTGTGTTTTACATAGGTGTCTATTTTCACACATATATGTATGTATGTTTATATGTATGGAAACTACAGAAGCACATGTCGCCAATAAGAGCTCTGAGACACCTTTGACCACTTACCCTTATCAGATGAGATTTGCCAAATGAGTTGTGGAAACAAGTTTTTTAAACTGAATTTCTGAGCTTTGTGAATTTAGAAATGCAAAGGAAAGTTTGTGGACATTTACAGGGATCATGGTTTTATTGTCCTTTAAACTCTTCGATACTTTACCATTGTCTTACTATAAATCCAAAATCCTAACCCCACCCACGAGGCTTTAAATACCTGGCTTCTTGTGATTTCTCCAGGCTAATCTTTTACCCTCCTTCCCCTCAGCCTCTCTGCTTTAGTGAACTTTCTCCTAGTTTTTTGAAGAAGTTCATCAATTCAAGCTTTTGTAGATGGGATTTCCTAAACCTGAAATGTGCCTCCCGTTTTGTCCAAACAGACACGGGCTCCACTCTGCCCCCTGGCTCACACCTGCTTAACCCGTCAAGTCACATCTGAACTGTCACTCTTTAGAGGGTCCTTCTCTGGCACCCTAATGTAATTGAGATCATCCTATTATTCTCTGCTCTAGAACTTCCCACTTCCGAGATTTCTCATTCCTGTCTAACCTCTTGTGTGTTTGGTGTTTGGCCATCGCTTTCACTGCTCTTTAAGCTCCCCCAGCGGAGTGGAGAGGTCTGTTTTCCCTTGTTTGGATTCCTAGAGGCAGCGCAGGCCAGACACAAGGTCATCACTAAGAAAGTGTTCACAGGATGAACGCGGTGGGTGCTGTTTAAGGAACCGGTAAACATGTGGGATGAGAGAAGGAGCAGAGAGTGTTTTTCGGGTGGAGGCTCCCAGGAGGAGGAGGGGCGGGCTGCGGTGCTGGGCGGATCCTCCTCCAGCTCCTGCTTGGAGGTCTCCAGAACAAGCTGGAGGCAGGGATGGGGGGTCCCAAAAGCCTGGGGATGAGAAGGGGTTTCCCCGCATAGTCCCCCAGGCCCCCGTTCGCCTCAGGAAAACGGAGGATGAGCTCCTGGGCTGCTGGTGGTGGGCGTTGCGGGGGGGGCCGGTTAAGGTTCCCAGTGCCCGCACCCGGCCCAGGGGGCCCCGGATGGCGGCGTCGCTGTCAGTGTCTTCTCAGGAGGCCGCCTGTGTGACCGGAGCATTCGTGTCCCCACAGCACGTTTCTTGGAGCTGCTTAAGTCTGAGTGTCATTTCTTCAATGGGACGGAGCGGGTGCGGTTCCTGGAGAGACACTTCCATAACCAGGAGGAGTACGCGCGCTTCGACAGCGACGTGGGGGAGTACCGGGCGGTGAGGGAGCTGGGGCGGCCTGATGCCGAGTACTGGAACAGCCAGAAGGACCTCCTGGAGCAGAAGCGGGGCCAGGTGGACAATTACTGCAGACACAACTACGGGGTTGGTGAGAGCTTCACAGTGCAGCGGCGAGGTGAGCATGTCGGGGGGCGGGGCCTGGGTCCCTGTGAGCTGGAAATCTGAGAGTGTGTGTGTGTGTGTGTGTGTGTGTGTGTGTGTGTGTGTGTGTGTGAGAGAGAGAGAGAGAGAGAGAGAGAGGAAGAGAGAGACAGAGAGAGGGAGCGCGCCATCTGTGAGCATTTAGAATCCTCTCAATCCCGAGCAAGCAGTTCTGAAGGCACAGGTGTGTGTGTAGAGTGTGGATTTGTCTGTGTCTGTGTGCCTGTTGTGGGAGGGAAAGCAGGAGGGGGCTGCTTCTTATCCTTGGAGACTTCTGTGGAGAGGTGACAAGGGAGGTCGGTGCGGGCGGCTGGAGAGAGAGGAGACCTTGATTGTCCTGGGTCCTTAGAGATGCAGGGAAGGAAAGTGTAAGGTGTGTGTGGGTGGGGTGAAGGTTTAGGGGAGGAGAGCTGAGGGGTAAGGAAGGTTTGGGATAATGTGAGGAGGCCGGTTCCAGACTGTCCCTGGCACACACCCTTCATGTAATCTCTGAAATAAAAGTTTGTGCTGTTTGTAAAAGCATTAGATTAAGTTCTAGGGGAATTGAGTAGACCTCTAAGGCACCTCTGAAACTTCTTTAGGTATAAATTTCTTGCTAGTTTTTTGTTTTTCTAGTGTGTATATTTTTACATAGTAGAAATGACAGTGAAACTAACTTTTGAATTAAAGTTTTAACACAATTACTGTATTATTATAATGCTAATAGTTTTCTAGTAGTTACATATTATTCTTTTATATATAATAGTTGTGACACAACTTAGGGATCACTTTCCCCTTTGTTGACCTTTATTATGACATTCACCAAAAGTTGAAAATGTATGTTTCTGGTTAATTTTTAATTTATATTTTTTCATTTGAAAAAATGTGGAGAGGTCTGTTTTTCATTCAAAAGAGTTCTTTTGAATTATTTTGACCGATTTATTGGTCAATTTTAATAACTGCTCTAAGAATTCCCTATTTTATTTGGTAGGTAATGGACAATGATCTACTGCCTAATATCTCTAGGGCTTAGTATTTTTCTCAGTGACTTTGTGGGTTCTTTGTACTGTAAGATTATTAACACTTTATTGATATTTGATTCAGCATTTGCTCCAGTTTGTGGTTTGTATGTTGATTTTGAAAATTCTTTTCCATGTTAAGAATTTGAACATTTTTATTTAATAAAATGTATTGCAAAAATTTTATTAATGATTTACAATCCATCTTAAATCTGCCATTTTGTGGTATTTTTGTCTCTAGGTTTCTCCTTACTTCTAAAAACATTGTATTTATTGAGAGTATGCTAATGTCGGGGATTTTCCTGGGCATAAGCACCACAAGTAATGAGTTCCAGACCCTGCCTTAATCCAAATGTGATTCTGGAAAGAAAAATCATTTTACAACTGGCCTGATAATAATTCTGCTTGTGTTGCACGGGGGATACATTGAGCAGCTGAATGAAAATATAAGAACTTTCAAAACTAAAATGACGCTCCTAAATCCTTCTGTCTGCTTTAGGACTCATGCTTTTCTAGGAACGTAAAAATTTGGAGAATCATTTCTGTCTGTCCCACCTTCCCAGGGGCAGAACCATTTCTGTGGTGTTCTAAGGTGTGAGTGCATGGCAGTAGTATTCCTAAAAATTCATACTCGGTTTTCTCATGTACCCAACTCTGTCCCTTTGTCTATGTACATTGCTTTAAATCATATTTTTCTGTCACGGAGTACAAGGATGATAAATAGGTGCCAAGTGGAGCACCCAAGTGTGATGAGCCC
Source organism: Homo sapiens (assembly GCF_000001405.40). NCBI lineage: Eukaryota > Metazoa > Chordata > Mammalia > Primates > Hominidae > Homo > Homo sapiens. The sequence goes on along the minus strand of NT_167244.2, from coordinate 3,827,732 downwards.
CCTTACGGTGGAATGGAGTGAGAAGCTTTCTGATCTCATAAATTGAAGGCTATCTTCAGTCATTATGTATTTTACATAAATTAATCCTCATGTAACCCCAAGAGGTAAATTAGTATAATTATCCTTCATTGGGGGTGACAAAGTTGAGACACAGAAGAATCAACTCTTCCAGGATCAACCAGTAAAAGGCAGACCTTGGATTTGAACCAGGCAACCTGGCTCAGATATCAGTTTTAATTACTACACTCTGTACTTTCAAAAATTTGTAAACACTTTGACAATGCATGCCAATTTCAAGTTATGAAGAAGCAAACGCAATTTTTCACATCTCTCAAATCTAATGGGTCCTCACTATCAAGATTAAATTCCAGGCTGATGACACTGTAAGGCCACATGGCCAGCTGTGCTGGAGGCCTGGTCAAGGTCAGAGCCTGGGTTTGCAGAGAAGCAGACAAACAGCCAAACCAGCAGAATTACTCTGTCTTCCTGACTCATTCCCTCTACCTTTTTTTCTCCTAGTCCATCCTCAGGTGACTGTGTATCCTGCAAAGACCCAGCCCCTGCAGCACCACAACCTCCTGGTCTGCTCTGTGAGTGGTTTCTATCCAGGCAGCATTGAAGTCAGGTGGTTCCGGAACGGCCAGGAAGAGAAGGCTGGGGTGGTGTCCACGGGCCTGATCCAGAATGGAGACTGGACCTTCCAGACCCTGGTGATGCTAGAAACAGTTCCTCGGAGTGGAGAGGTTTACACCTGCCAAGTGGAGCACCCAAGCGTAACGAGCCCTCTCACAGTGGAATGGAGTGAGCAGCTTTCTGATTTCATACATTTCTCACCCACCAAGAAGGGGACTGTGCTAATCCCTGAGTGTCAGGTTTCTCCTCTCCCACGTCCTATTTTCATTTGCTCCATGTTCTCATCTCCATCAGCACAGGTCACTGGGGATAGCCCTGTAACAGTGTGTAGAAACACCTGTACTCCCTGTGGAATCAGTCATGCTTTTTTTTTTTTGAACCTCCCCATGATGTCACAGGTCAGGGTCACCCGATCTCCCCAAGCTCCAGGCCCTGCTTCTGGGTCTGAGACTGAGTTTCTGGTGCTGCTGCTCTGAGTTACTTGTTTTGATCTGGGAAGAGGGGAAGCATAGGGGCCTACCTGACATGAGGGGAGTCCAATCTCAGCTCTACCTTTTATTAGCTCTGTCACTCTAGACAAACTACTTAGCTTCATTGAGTCTCAGGCTTTCTGTGGATCAGATGTTGAACTCTTGCCTTACATCAAGGCTGTAATATTTGAATGAGTTTGATGTCGGAACCTTGTAACTGTTCAGTGTGATTTGAAATCCTTTTTTTCTCCCGAAATGGCTAGTTATTTTAGTTCTTGTGGGGCAGCCTTCTTCCCCATTTTCAAAGCTCTGAATCTTAGAGTCTCAAGTAAAGAGGTTCAATCTGGAATAAGCATCACTAAACCTGGCTTCCTCTCTCAGGTGCACGGTCTGAATCTGCACAGAGCAAGATGCTGAGTGGAGTCGGGGGCTTTGTGCTGGGCCTGCTCTTCCTTGGGGCCGGGCTGTTCATCTACTTCAGGAATCAGAAAGGTAAGGAGTCTTTGGTAGCTGGCTCTCTCCATAGGCTTTTCTGGAGGAGGAACTATGGCTTTGCTGAGGTTAGTTCTCAGTATATGAGTGGCCCTGAATAAAGCCTTTCTTTCCCCAAACGGCTCTAATGTCCTGCTAATCCAGAAATCATCAGTGCATGGTTACTATGTGAAAGCATAATAGCTTGTGGCCTGCAGAGACAAGAGGAAGGTTAACAAGTAGGGGTCCTTTGGTTTGAGATCTTGGAGCAAATTAAGGAAGAGCCACTAAAGTTAATGGAATTACACTGGATCCTGTGACAGACACTTCATGCTTCATGGGTCACATGGTCTGTTTCTGCTCCTCTCTGCCCTGGTTGGTGTGGGTTTTGGTGTTAGAACTCTCCGGTGGGAGATCTGGGACTGGGATATTGTGTTGGAGGACAGATTTGCTTCAATATCTTTTAAGTGTATATCTTTTCCTCTTTTTCCCAGGACACTCTGGACTTCAGCCAACAGGTAATACCTTTTAATCCTCTTTTAGACACAGATTCAGTTTCTCCAGTGAGAGGTGAAGCCAGCTGGACTTCTGGGTTGGGTGGGGACTTGGAGAACTTTTCTGTCTTACAAGAGGTTTCTAAATGCACCAATGAGTGCTCTGTAAAAACACACCAATGAGTGCTCTGTAAAAATTGACACTCTGTGGCTCGCTAGATGTTTGTAAGATGGACCAATCAGCACTCTGTAAAATGGACCAATCCACACTCTGTAAAATGGACCAATCAGCACTCTTTAAAATGGACCAATCAGCAGGATACGGGCAGGGACAAATAAGGGAATAAAAGCTGGTCACCCTAGCCAGCACCGGCAACCTGCTTAGGTCCTTTTCTATGCTGTGGAAGGTCTGTTCTTTCACTCTTCACAATAAATCTTGTGCTCACTCTTTGGGTCCGTGCCACCTTTAAGAGCTATAACACTCACTGCAAGGGTCTGTGGCTTCACTCTTGAAGTCAGCCAGACCCTGAACCTACCGGAAGGAACAAACTCAGGACACACTAGAATGATGGTAGAGGTGATAAGGCATGAGACAGAAATAATAGGAAAGACTTTGGATCCAAATTTCTGATCAGGCAATTTACACCAAAACTCCTCCTCTCCACTTAAAAAAGGCCTGTGCTCTGCAGGACTATTGGCTCTGGGAGACTCAGGAACTTGTTTTTCTTCTTCCTGCAGTGTTCTCATCTGAGTCCTTCAAAGAGGGGGAAAGAAACGTTAGTAGAGCCAGGTTGAAAACAACACTCTCCTCTGTCTTTTGCAGGATTCCTGAGCTGAAGTGCAGATGACAATTTAAGGAAGAATCTTCTTCCCCAGCTTTGCAGGATGAAAAGCTTTCCCGCCTGGCTGTTATTCTTCCACGAGAGAGGGCTTTCTCAGGACCTAGTTGCTACTGGTTCAGCAACTGCAGAAAATGTCCTCCCTTGTGGCTTCCTCAGTTCCTGCCCTTGGCCTGAAGTCCCAGCATTGATGGCAGCGCCTCATCTTCAACTTTTGTGCTCCCCTTTGCCTAAACCCTATGGCCTCCTGTGCATCTGTACTCACCCTGTACCACAAACACATTACATTATTAAATGTTTCTCAAAGATGGAGTTAAATATCATCTGGTCCATTTGGCTCCAAAGACAAAAAATGAAAAGAAAAGAAAAGAAAAAGGGAAGATTATTTCCTAACAGAATAATGATTTTCACGTGTGTGTCATGAGTATGTGAGGTAATGTATATGTTAAATACCATGATTTAGTCATTCCACACTATAGGCATATAACAAAACTTCATGCTTCCACATAAATATGCTATACAATTTTTACTTGTCAATTAAAAAAGTAATGCTAACATTTAAAAAGGCAGTGCATAAAAACTGAGAACAGACTATAACAACTGAAACAAACTTGGCAAACCGATGAGAAACCAGCCAGCAAGTCAATCAGAACTCTTCACCCCATCTACAATATTTTGTATTTATAACTGTAAATTAGTGTATAGTGTTTCACTCCAGAGACTTCAATAATATAGTGTTATCAAAGGACTTGTACAGATTTCAGAGAAAGACACATTTAGAAGACGGAGAATGGAGTCTCCATTATGTTCTACCTGAGAGTCAGTATGAAATGTCAAATATAAAAGTACATAATTCAGAGGTCTATTTCAAAGTAATAATCATTTGAGCATAATTTCTCCACTGACAGAGACGACTGTTATTTTATTTTCAATCAAAAGTTTTTATGCATATTTTATTTTTAGTTATATGTTACTTGTACATAAGTAGCAGTACAAGTACATATAAATCCTGTAAGAGTATAAATCCTATAGAAATATATTAAGCTGATAATTATGTCTGTTCTGTTTGATCACAGAGATGCAACAAAGAGACCTCATTTCCTAAGTTGAGGAAATGATTTTCTCATTTTATATGAGACTCGTGGTGTGGAATTACAAGGTAGAACCAAAATGTGTGGAATGAATATTTCAATGAAGATGCCTTCTGCTGCTAATAACAGGAAATTACATCTAGTGGGCTTTATTTTTCTTTAACCCATTATCTCACATAGCTGATAGATCCAAGACTGGGCGTCTTCAGGGTTGCTCAACTCAGCAGGCCAGTGGCATCACCAGCAATCCTGGAACTTCATAGCTCATCTCTCTATCACACACAGTATCTCAGCTTTCCTGAGATGGTAGGGTGACCCCTGCAGCAGCTTTAGGTTTGTTATTCATTCACAACAACTCCCAGAGGCAGGAAAAGGATACTCCTTTCTCCTGTGTGCCTTTAGAAGGAGCAACTAAACTGTTTCCAGATTGTTCCCAGTACCCACTTTCTCATGCATTGGAACGACTGTGGGATCACACGGGCTCAGACAAGCCAGGATGCAACCTTTGCAGAGTCGGCCTGATGCACATGGGAAGAAAAGGAGCAAAATCAAATATTTTTAAAAATAAAGAAATGGTGGCTGGAGTAGCAGAAATTGATTTCAGGGTAGGGAAATGATAGATTGTGGTACTATCAGGTCGTAAGTATTTGAGTTAACTTCCACACGAAGGCCTATAGATTCCTGACAGGCACCCTCAATTCAGGGTTTTGGGTCTTTATATATATATATATATGTGTGTGTGCATATATATATATATATATATCTGTGTGTGTATATATGTGTGTGTGTATACATATATATACACACACATACATATGCAAATATATATGTGTGTATATATATGTATACACACACATATATACACATATATATACACACACACATATAGAGAGAGTTATTAAATGTCAGCCATTAACTCAATTACAATAGAACAAAAAAGCAAGCAAATAGGATTGTTTTTAGAACTCAATTAAGTATTCTGACATGTTATTTTATGAGGTAAATGTATTTTCCAGGGAAATTATTGAAAAAAAGTAGAATAAGGAATGAATAGCTCTGTAAGGCACTAAAACACACTATACATTTACTTTTAGAAATGCATTTGTTACTGATTTTTTTAATTAAATATGTTAATAAAACAGAGTCTAGAATTAGAAACAGAAAGAGTTGAGATTTAGTTTCAGTTTTTGTAAGTTGTATTCCAAACTCATTTCTTTCACTAAATAGATCCTGGATAAATAAAACTTGAAACATAAAGAGAAAATATAAAATTACCAAGACAGATGTTATTTCTAATACTGTCATCATCATTATAATTATGTTTGAAGACAAATAGACTTTCTAAACCCTTATGCGTTGCTGGTGGGAGTATATGAGTTTACAAATACCTGATAATTTGGCAATTTCTTAAATAGTTTAACATATGTTTGCCTTATGACCCAGCAATCTCATTCCTTGGAATCTACCTAAGAGACATAAAAACGTATGTCCTCACAAAGATATATGTTAGGGTTCAGAACAGCCTTAGCCATAGTAGGCCAAAACTGAAAACAATCCAAATATCCTTCAACTAGTAAATAGATAAACAAAATTCAACTACATCCAGGCAAGGCAATGTCATTCAACAATAAAAGGGGGCAAAACTAGACTCATCTGGCAGCGGAGATACCATGAACATCACGGTAGTTTTCCCAAAGCAGGTTTCCACCCTTGCACTCCGGATGATGAGACATTACTTAATGGATACAATGCATGTGATTTGGGTGATGGATACTGTGGAAACACCGACTTCACCACTATGCAATCTATGCAGGTACCAAAACTACACTTGTACCTTATAAATTTACACACATGAAAAAAGACAAAAAGAAATGAAAACACAAAATGATGATACATACTACAAAACTTGTGAACTTCAATAATGTTAGCTAAGTGAAAGAAATTGGACACGAAAGATTACATGTCATATGATTTCATTTACTTGAAATATCTAGAAAAGGTAAATTTATAGACACAAAAGCAGATCACTGGGTGCCTAGGGTTTGGGGTCTCAGTGGGACTTAACTATAAATAGAGAAATTTGGGACATGACAGAAATGTTCTAAAAATGGATTGTTGTGATAATTGCACAAATCTATTAATTTACTCAAATCATTCAATTTTACATATACAGTGAGTGAATTTTGTAGTATTCCAAACCGTGGCTGTGAACACAATGAGTGAATTTTGTAGTATGTAAATTATGCTTTAGTAAGCGTGTTAAAATAATTCTTTTTTTAAAAATAAGACTTTGTAAGCAAGATAAAATCCAAAAGATACAAATGAAAAAATATTTGAAGAAGATTACTGATTTATTTGCATGAAGAAAATAACAAAATTAAAAGAAGTATATGACGCTCAGGAAAAATTTGATCACGTAAGGCAGACAATGGGCTAACTTTCTTAGAAAAATTGTTAACTAATCAATAAATAAATTCATGGAAATGCCATAGATAATTGGGCAAAGGATATAGACTCACTATAGAAGAGAATATTCAAATAGCCAATAAATATAAATATTTGCTCAAACGCACCAATGAACAGAAAAATCCAAATTCAAACAGCAGTGTAATAAACTATTTCTCCCACTCCACAATTGACAAGTACAATAGTTTGTTTTAAAATCAAGATTCTAAGGGAATAGACTCTCTCATATTATTAGGATTTTGAGTTATGGCAGTGTAGTAGTGTCTATTAAAACTCAAAATACAGTTATTATATGCTGATGAAAACAACAAAAATCTCATTTTAACATCCGTCTTAAAGAACAATCCTACATGAGCCCAAGGAGACATAAAATTGGTCGTTTGTTGAGCCACGGTTTGGAATAACAAAAACATTTCCAGATTCAAAAAGAAAAACTGATTAATTTGTCTTGATTATAAAAATTTTGTACATCCTAAAAACTATGCAGCATGTGAAGTGACAGCACACTGCAGGATGACATCTGGTGCTGTATGGGGCACGGTGAGCATATATTGGTGTAACCCTGTGAGTAGTTTGGATAATACAGTATTTCCACTCTAGGTTGTTACAGTCTCAGTAAATTCTTCCTCATATATCCATGATGACATAAAAAAAATGTAACAGGGGAGAAAAGAAACATTCTCTACATTTAGATATAAGAAAGGTAAACTGTGGTATAGCCATACAAAGGAAAAATATTCAGGGCTTTAAGTAAATTATGTAGGACTATCAACATAGATTGGAAAAAATATTAAACCACAATGCAGTGAGGAGGTGGAAAATTATAAGAATTGTCACTGTTACTATAAGAGCAAAAAGATATATAGACTAAACTAAATGGATAAACTGGAAAATAATCTTATTTTTAAAATTTTAACCAGCTGTGGATCAAAAAGTATAAAAATTCCAAATTCCAGAGATGAACAAATCCCACTTAGGTGAGCAGGGACAAGTGTCCACTCTTATTCTTTGGTCCATCTACTGAATCTTAACATGGGTGGAAGATTAAGCCTGGCTGAGAAAGGGAGATTGTGAGAGAGCAAGGACAAACCAGCTGAGTTGTAAATAGCCCCGTGGGCTTGTGTGATGCATTACAATCTATAGAGGGCCCCTGAATAATACATATCTACTTTACCCTGTCAGCTGATTCTCTTTCCAGAACTTTTTCTGACTTCATGCTGGTTGTGTGGGAACTAGGGACGTAGACAGAAGACAACAAACATCTCTCTAGCTTCATGCAAAGATCAGGAAGGAAATCAAGATAGGAACAATACTTTCAACCATCTTGACTTAGTTGGCATTTATAATTGACATAAATTGACAACATCTGATAACTACAAAATATTTATTTATTTGCATTGCACAAAGATAATTCATGAAATAGAACAAATACTATGACTATAGAACTAGACTCAGTACTTTTACAAGAATAAAATCATACAGAGTATATTCTCTGAACACAATCTTATCAAATTACAAATTAGTAAGATTGAGAAAACTGCCTAAATTTTTGGAACTAAAATAATACATTTCTAAATAATTTATGGCTTGTCAAAGAGGAAATCAGAAGGAAATTAGAAAATAATTTTAAATAAAATAATATTAAAATGAATTTTAAAAATTTTCAAGATGCAACCAAGGCAGTCCTTAGAGAAAAATATTTAGTTTTAAATGCCTGTATTATAAAGGGATAAATATGTAAAAATCAAAGGTGTAAACTTTTAATAATAAAAAGAAGCAAATTTAAGTTGAAAAAAGTAGAAGAAAAAAGCAAAGAGGTGAGGAAGTTGATAAAATTATTTTCTTGGTTTTGTTTTCTATTTGTCCATGATAGAGCATAATTATGTTAGTCCATTCTTACATTGCCAGAAAGAAATACCTGGGGCTGGGTAATTCATAAAGAAAAGAGGTTTCACTGGTTCAGGGTTCTGCAGGCTGTACAGGAGGTGTGGTGCTGGCAATTGCTTCTGGTGAGGGCCTCAGGAAACTAACAATCATGGGGGAAGGAAAGGGGAGCCCGGGTATCACATGGTGAGAGCAGGAGCACAGCGAAAGTGGGGGAAAATTAAGGCCAAGTGCTGAATTCTGTCAAATCGTATTTCATGACTCTATTCAGTTGGTTGCATGTGTATTCTCCTTCCTTCAGTTAATGTCATGAATCACACTAACTGATTCTCAAATGCTCAAACAACCTTACATTTCTGGAATAACCTCCACTTGGTCATGATATAGTAGCCATCTTTTATATCACTGAATTCACTTGGCTAATATTTCCTTAAGAACTTGGCTCATAAGAGTTATTGGTCTCTTAATTCCTATTTGTTATAGAGTTCCCTTCAGGTCTTGAAGTAAAGTTTACACAGATCTCATCAAACGTAATTGCAAGTGCTTTTCCTTTTTTCAAATATGTTTGAAGTTTGTATAAAGTTAATGTTGTTTGTTCCTTAAATATTTTTAAGTAGTTACTGAAGCTAGATGAACCTAGGGTTTTGTCTTGGGAAAGCTTTATAGAATGGACTTACTTTCTCTACGAGATGTGGAACTGTTCCTATTTTATGTTATTTGTCAGCTTCAGTACATTGTACATTTTGAATAATTTATTCATTACATGCACAGTACATTGTACATTTTGAATTATTTATTACATGCATATTTATGTTGTAAAGTTTTTCATAATATTTAGTATGATTTCATGCTGATAAATCTGTAAGATTATAACAAAAGGTATGAAATTTGTGTTACTGGAGTCTTAGAGGGAAATGACAAATGGGTGATGCCCAAAGAGTGCTTGAAGGAAGACTGACTACTTTCCAAATTTGGACAAAGGCTTAAATGTAAAAATTCAAGAATCTGTGCAAACCCAAATGAAAATAAATCCAAAGAAATTTATGCCAAAAAAAATCTCAAAAGCAACAAGAGAGAAAGGACATCTCATGCACAGGAGAAAATATATTAAATGACAGTGGATTGCTCATTAGAAATCAGGCAGACCAGACAGAAGTGGCACAAGATATTTTAATGGTTGAAAGGAATGTTAACCTAGAATGTATATCCAGTAAAAACATTATTATAAAATGTTCTATCATGACTTTTTTTTCCTTTTACTTTTCTTTTTTTGTTTGTTTTTTGTTTTTTAGATGGAGTTTTCATCCATCTAAAAAAAAAAAACCCAGGCTAGAGTGCAGTGGCGCGACCACGGCTCACTGCAGCCTTTGCGTCCCAGGCTCATGTGATCCTCACACCTCAGCCTCCTGAGTAGATGGAATTACAGACACACACCACCACGCCTGGCTAATTTTTTGTATTTTTGGCAGAGACAGGGTTTTGCCATGTTGCCCAGGCTTGTCTCGAATTCCTGAGCTCATGGGATCCGCCTGCCTTGGCCTTTCAAAGTGCTGGGATTACAGGCGTGAGCCACTGCGCCTGGCCATGACATACTTAAAGGAAGGAAAATCAAGAGAATTTCATGCTAGGAGACTTATGTTAAAACAAGGGCTAAAGGAAGTGCTTTAACTGGAATAGAAATGATAATGGAAGAAATCTTGGACAATTGGGAAAAAAGTAAACAACAAATGAGTAAAAATATGGTTAGATACAACAGACTTCTTCAGTTTTGTAAATTAACTTGATGGTTGAGGCAAAAATTACAACATTGATAGATGTGGTTTTGATGCAAGTAGAGAAAATAAAACATATATATTACACATGCAGAAGTGGAAAGGGATATAAAGGAGGTAAAGTTTCCACACTTTAGTCAAATTGGTAAAATGTCAGCACCAGTAGACTATGATAAGTTATGTTAACAGACAGATAAATCACGAAAACTATACAATGAGATACACCAAAAAAAGATTGATTCAAAAATGGAATTCTAAAAATTGCTTAAGGAACACATTGGAAAATAGGAAAAGAAACCAGAGAAGAAAAAACCAAAGGAAACAAAAAAGAAAACAAAAAACAGATGGCAGTCATAAGAGCTCACATATTAATAACTGCATTACATGTAAAGTGTGTAAAAAGACAAATGCCAGAGTGAAAAGCAATGACTCTTCGACATGCTCCCTATAAGAAACTTACTTCAAATATTACATGCCCATCTTCCCTTGGCTTCCCTGTGACTGAGGTGGCAAAAGGCTGGTGTGTCAACACTGCCCTGAGCGTGCACACACCCAGCCAGTCTGTGACAGCACTGGGGCTTTGCCCCAACTCCACTCTGAGATCAGAGTGGGCACCTGGGACCCGAGTGAGGCCAAGGGAGAGGCCAGAAAGTGGGAACAGACACCCCCAAGGCTGCATGGACAGGAGGGCCTTCTCAGCCTTGAGGGAGTGGAGTGTAGAGAGGCCTGGATCCTGTTGCCTGCGGGGAGGGCCGGGAGGGTGGGGTTTCCAACCCATTCCGTGGAGCCTGCAGGTATCCCCTGTCACACCTTCTGGCAGCCTGGGGTGGGCAGCTCCCCTCGCTGGGCGCAGGCCAGCATGTGGGGCAAGGGTGATGTCTCTGCAAGTTATTCTGCTAGCACTCAGGGTGCCCGGGGCTCCTTCTCGCCTGGATGGGGCGGGGGAGGCACCTTGGGGAACAGATCCCAGCCCGGGCCTGGCTGTCAGGAGCATCAGGCTGGGTGGCCACCCGCGGGGACAAAACCCTGGACGGCCTCAAGCAGAGCCTCTTCCTGAGGCGCAGGAACTGGGCGCCCTTGGCAGGGCGGGAGAGCGGCCTTGCCGCTGGCCGGGTCCTCAAAGTGAGGCCACTCCCATGTCCCACCCCGGGTCACTGAAGGGTGGCCCCAGCTCCATGCCCTCCCCACAACTGCAGGGTGAGAGCAGCAACGCAGGAGTGAAGGCTCTGGGCCTGGAGGCGGTCCTGCTGGCTGTTCAAGAGTGGGGTCAGTGCAGTCAGCTGCCTCAGTGACGCGAGGCACAGGGGATATGGGGCACAAGGGTCCCACCACGGCC
>NT_167244.2:3786278-3812954 GCF_000001405.40 Homo sapiens | reverse complement strand
TGGCCAAGGCTGGAAATTTGATGCCTGCTAGTATTGTTGGGAGTGGAAGACTGAGAGAAATGAGTTAGTTGGGGCATTAAATGGGAATAAAATGGCTCTGGTTGTGATTCATTACTACAGATAATTAGTGGACCAGTGGCACAGAAATTAAGAAAGAAGATGCTATGGAAGATAAATGATATGATTTGATGACTGATTATAAAGGCAAGGAAATCAGTAAATCTTGGTTCTCCACAAGTTCATTTTCTGGAAACATAGCACTGTATTGGGACCAGAATTCTACAACATTTTCATTTTCTGTAGGACCAAGATTTTCAACAGATGTTTTTCAAAGTAATTCTCAGCTGCTCCATAACTAATAGTGGCTTGTTCAACACAGATTTTTTCAAATGGTTCACACCCATGGTTCTTACCCAGGGATAGTTCACCACCCCTCCCTTCCCTCCCATCACCCTTGGGGAACATGTGGCAATGTTTGGAGGAATTTTTGGTTGTCATAACAGGGATTTCTTCTGATATTTAATGAGTAGAAGCCAGGGACACTTCTAGAGAACCTGCAATGTACACAACAGCCTCCATCACCAACAAAGAATTACCTGGTCCAAAATGTCAATAGTGCTGAGGTTGAGAGCACTGGTTCACACTGTGCTCTTTCTGAAAAGTCTAGACTTACATCTTTTTGTTTTGTTTTGTTTTGTTTTTTTGAGATGGAGTCTCGCTCTGTCACCCAGGCTGGAGTGCAGTGGCACAATCTCGGCTCACTGCCAGCTCTGCCTCTGGGTTCATGCCATTCTCCTGCCTCAGCCTCCCGAGTAGCTGGGACTACAGGTGCCTGACACTGCACCTGGCTAATTTTTTTGTATTTTTTTAATAGAGACTGGTTTTCACTGTGTTAGCCAGGATGGTCTCGATCTTCTGACCTCATGATCTGCCCGCCTCAGACTCCCAAATTGCTGGGATTACAGGCGAGAGCCACCATGCCTGGCCTAGACTCACATCTTTTATACAATCATCACCCAATTCACTTCTTTATGGCTAATTTTTGCTTGTTTCATTATAAATAACTAGACAGTTGCATAAATTCAACCACTTTCTTGTTGAATCCATTCAGTGTAGAGAGCCAGAGGCTGGAGAATCATGACCAACTCAGAATTTCCACTGAGGCAATATGATCAAACAGCAAACTGTTTATCATGAATACAGAGCAGGGGCAAACTCTCCTCTGTGCTGGCCACCAGAAGGTTTGCTGAGGGCAATCACTCCCTGGCGCTGAGCTCCTTCAGGTTATCTACTGGGACATCTAGAATCTATTGTTCAAGGAATGCAGTCTTGGAAGGCTGCTCTGGAGCAAGCAGCAGACCGACAACGACCCCCTTCTTGCTATCTCTTCTCAGTAAATACAAAGGAAGCTCAAGGCTCAGGGCCTTTGTTCACAAAGAGCAAGGTGCCCCTGACCCCTTCTTCCAAATATACTCTTTTGTCTTTATTTCCACGTTCATCCTCCTCTGTTCAGTCCAACAGGGTCCATGGCATAGTGATGTTCAAACAGCGACAGGGCGACACCATAGTGGTTTCTAAACACAGGGACATGAGAATGTGAACAAAGAAGATCTGGTGGAGCAGAGGAACTGAATTTGACAAGATGAATGGGGATCCCGAGATGAGTCTGCTGGCAGCTGATATAAGGTCAGTGCCCTAAAGAGGTACTGGGAGCAATATAAGGTCAGTGCTCTAAAGAAGTATTGGGAATGGGAAGTTTTCTGAATCAGAGTAACATGAGGCAGAATTTGTCTATCGAAGAAAAACATTATGTGCAGTTGCTTAAAGTTTTGTTGAAATAATCTGGTGCTCAGGTTAGATCTCAGACATTAACTACAATGCTGCAGGAGGTTATTATGCATAACCCATGGTTCCCACAGACAGGCACTCTTGATATGGAAAATTGGGACAGAGCAGAAGGATTAAAACGGGCTCAGTAAAAAGGTCTCAAAGTTGATCCTTCCATTTTCTCCACTTGGAGTTTAGTCCATACTGTCCTTCTGCCATTATCTCCTTCTTATTCTGCTGGACAGCAGGAGTGATGTTCTGAGTCTAAAAATCTGAAAAAATCTGTTGTCCCACCCACAGCTCCAATTGAAAATAAAAAACAGGAGAAGGAGGATAAAAATTGGCCTATACCACCTCCTCCAATAGCAGAAACATCTGTACTGCCTCCTTCGGTAGCAGAAATAGAGACCCCAATACAGAGAATTTTACACCTTGCTGCCATAGCTGGAGAGCCCTTAGGACCTTGCACTTTTCCTATTTCTGTAAGGCCTGATCCAAATAATCCATAGCAGCTTATTCATGAACACACTCCACTAGAGTTTAAGTTGTTGAAGGAATTGAAAGGAGTGTGGTAAATAATGGTGTACAGAGCCTGTTCACTTTAGGATTGCTAGTATCTGTATTTGGTGCTGTGCGCCTTCTACCCTTCAATGTAAAGAATTTGGCTCACACTTGTTTGTCTCCTAGTGCATACCTGACATGGAATTTAAATTGGCAAGAAATGTGTGCAGACCAGGCTAGACGGAATTGTGTGGCTGGACACAGAGACATTACAGAGGACATGCTCTTAGGTAATGGCCCTTATTCAGACCTGGAACATCAAATGGCACTCCCAAATGCCAGCAGTGTGCACAGGCTGCTAAATGTGACTGGGCCACAATTCCAGAAGAGGGAGTCCCAGTGCAATCCTTTTTACATATCATGCAAGGGTCACAAGAACCTTATGCACAATTTCTTGCATGACTATAGAAGGCAATGAAGCATCAGATTTATCACACCACTGCTGCAGAGATGCTAACCTTAACTCTAGCTTTTGAGAATGCAAATGCAGATTGTAAACGTGCATCGGCACCTGTGAGGTGTACAAAAAACTTGGGAAATTTTCTCAGAGCTTGTCAAGATGTGGGAAATGAGCTTCATTGCTCTACAATATTAGTGCAGGCAATGGCTAATTTAGCAGTTGACAAATCTAAAAGGAACCAAGGGTCAAACCCTAAAATGGGAAAATGTTATAACCGTGGAAAAACTGTACTTTTTTTTTTTTTTTTTTTTGAGATGGAGTCTCGCTCTGTCGTCCAGGCTGGAGTGCAGTGGTGCAACCTCGGCTCACTGCAAGCTCCTCCTCCCAGGTTCACGCCATTCTCCTGCCTCAGCCTCCCAAGTAGCTGGGGCTACAGGCACCTGCCACTACGCCCAGCTAATTTTTTGTATTTGTTTAAGAGATGGGGTTTCACCATGTTAGCCAGGATGGTCTCGATCTCCTGACCTTGTAATCCGCCCACCTCTGCCTCCCGAAGTGCTTGGATTACAGGCATGAGCCACCGTGTCCAGCCAAAACTGGACATTTTAAAAAGGAATTCCGCCAGATCTCAGGACAGAAAGGACATTACGATGCAGTGCCCCACCCAGCAGAAAAAAACACCAGGACTTTGTCCTCACTGTAACAAAGGAAATCACTAGGCTAATCAGTGCCGCTCAAAATTTCATCAAAACAGCACCCACCTGTCACGAAACTAGAAGGGGGCGTGGACCCGGGCCCCTCAAGCAATGAGGGCATTTCCAGTTCAGACCACAGTCCCACTTCAGGGATGGGTCTCAGGAAAAACATTGATTCCTGGTGTTCCTCACCTCAGGAACACCAGGAAGTGCAGGATTAGATATCCCCACCAGAGAAAGAACTACATTAGTTGGAGGAGACAAACCTACCAAGGTTCCCACTGGCATTTGGGGATATTTACCAACAGGATACATAGGACTAATTTTAGGCAAAAGCCCCCTTAACTTGCAAGGCATGACTGTAGTCCCTGGAATAGTTGATTCCATTTATGAAGGAGAAATTCAAGTAGTTTTAATGTCGAAAATCTTTGCATTTTTGAACTGGGAGAATATATTGCTCGGTCGTTGCTTATTCCCTGCAAATTAAATCCTTCTCCACGAAAGGAGAAACGAGGAAATAAAGGGTTTGAGAGCACAACTACAAGGGAAATCTATCTATCCCATCCCATAGCCCATAGGACTTATGGATAGAGGAGCTGAAGTGTCAGTAATATCCAGTAAGGACTGACCCCCAGTATGGTCTCTCAGACTAACCTCCACATCCCTAGTGGGAGTAGGAGCAGCTAAAAGTGTTCAACAGAGTGCTGACATTTTACCTTGTCTTGGTCCGGATGGACAGCCATGTACTTTTCAGCCTTATGTTGCAAATATGGCAATCAATTTATGGGATCGAGACTTACTTACAGCATGGAATATGAGACTTACAAATGAAAACTTTGATAACCCAGAATTTAAAATGTTGAAGGACATGGGATATCAGAGTGGGAAAGGTTTAGGGAAATTCCTACGAGGAAAAGCTAACCCAACATCAATAACTGGAAAAAACAGATAGAAGAGGGCTAGGACGTCAGGATTTCTGATGAGGGTCATTGATATTTCTCCTCCACCCTCTGCCTTACCATTAGAATGGCCAGTGACAAACCTGTATGTGTGGATCAATGGCCCCTATCTCAGGAGAAGCTGACACAACTTCAGCAGCTAGTATAAGAACAACAGGACACAGGACATGTAGAGGAGTCAGTAAGCCCCCAGAATTCACCAGTGTTTGTTATTCCAAAAAAGTCCGGAAGGTGGTGACTGCTGCATGTTTGGAGTTAATGCACAAATTGAACCAATGGGTCCATTACAGCAAGGTTTGCCAACTCCAGTGGTCATTCCTAGAGATTGGCTTCTTGTAGTAATACATCTTAAGGATTGTTTCTTCACTATACCATTACACAAGAAGGATAAGCCTCGATTTGCCCTCTCTGTGCCTTCTATTAATCAAAAAGAACCTGTTTCTTGCTATCAATGGAGAGTTTTATCCCAAGGCATGCTTAACAGTCCTACGTTATGTCAGCATTTTGTAGGACAGGCATTAAAGGAGCCTCGAAATATGTTTCCTACTGCTTACATCATTCATTTTATGGATGACATTCTTTTGGCCACTCCTACAGATCAAATCTTACATCGGTTATTCTAAGAAACAAAGTAGGCTTTAACTAAATGGAATGTCAAAATAGCTCCAGAAAAGGTAGAAACAACTTTGCCATACCATTACTTAGACAATATTGTTACTGAAAGAAGTGTACGGCCTCAAAAGTAGTTCTCCATAAAGACAGGTTACAGACTTTAGTCCAGCCGCGGTGGCTCACGCCTGTAATCCCAGCACTTTCGGAGGCCGAGGCAGGCAGACCACAAGGTCAGGAGATTGAGACCATCCTGGCGAACACGGTGAAACCCTGTTTCTACTAAAAATACAAAAAAATTAGCCGGGAGTTGTGGCGGGCGCCTGTAGTCCCAGCTACCCAGGAGGCTGAGGCAGGAGAATGGCATGAACCTGGGGGGCTGAGCTTGCAGTGAGCAGAGATCGCGCCACTGCACTCCAGCCTGGGCGACAGAACGAGTCTCCATCTCAAAACAAACAAACAAACAAACAAACAAAAAAAAAGACAAATGAGTGCCTATGTGGTAGCATGTGAATTAATGCAGAACTTTATAAGCATAGTTGTATTCTGAAGTCCATTCTGAATCTTAGATGTTATATTTATATTAATAAAAAGCATAGTAATTATCTAAATGTATAATAATATGTTTAATATTACATAGTTACATCAACTGATGTAATTCATAGTTTTCCCTAGTGTTCTCTTTCCTGAATATTCTGAAATGTATTAGTTAGCAAAGTCGTCTTTTATCTTCCCTTATGATAAAACAAGAGAAACATAATATAAAGTGCTATAGCCTCAATCAAATGAGGAAATCATAATGGGAACCAAGAATGAGGGATTGAACACTCTTCACATAAAATATTCATTATTTTAAAACATAATGTGGCCAGGCACGATGGCTCACGCCTGTAACCCCAGCAGTTTGGGAGGCCGAGGCAGGAAGAACATGAGGTCAGGAGATCGAGACCATCTTGGCTAACACAGTGAAACCCATCTCCACTAAAAATACAAAAAATTAACCAAGCATGGTGGCAAGTGCCTGTAGTCAGAGTTACTTGGGAGGTTGAGGCAGGAGAATCTTTGAACCGAGGAGGCAGATGTTGCAGTGAGCTGAGATCGCTCCACTGCACTCCAGCCTGGGCAACAGAGACAGACTCCGTCTCAAAAAAAAAAGAGTTGTTCTATGAACAGCTAACTTTCACAGTCTTCGATCGATCTCTCAGACCCATGAATACTTGGATTGCACAGTTGACCTTATCACATTGTTAGGGTAAATGCCATACAAAGGCACCTTCAGACCCTCCATTGCACATAGGTGGCCCCTGTTAGCCCCTTGCCTGTGTGTGTTCTGGAGGGGCCACTAAACCTGGGGGCAGCATCAGGAGACACACTTGAAAAAGATATTCTTACTCAGATTAAATTATTAACAAACTTTCAATTTCCTTTAACTTATTAAAGACATCCCTACCTGTAAACAGGTACGGATTAAGCTCTCTAGTCAATAGCTGTCATTCTGTCATATTATCAGATACCCGGGGCTGCTGCTCCTTCAGGCGTCCACAGAATCACAGCATTTTCCAGTATCGAAAGACCTGAAAGATCACAGTGCCTTCATTTCAACTGTGAGACATGAAATAATTTTCCCAAATCTACAACATTAAGATATGGTGCAATAAGGACCAGTTTAAATGTCTCCGGATTTACAACCATGTTCCTTCCATCTCCTTTACTCCTAAACACACTCACACACTCACTTCTGCAAACAGTTGTCTTGTTAAGTGGGAAATGAATGCTCTTACAAGGCTCAAACTTATGAACACATCACTGACCAGCACAGAGCTGGCTCACAATCGGACCCAATTAAAGTGTTTTACATGCAACTGGATCAAATCTTTCAAGTACTAATTTAAAAACAATCCTTTAAAGAAGGAAATTCTGTTTCAGAAGAGGACCTTCATACAGCATCTCTGACCAGCAACTGATGATGCTATTGAACTCAGATGCTGATTGGTTCTCCAACACGAGATTACCCAACCCAGGAGCAAGGAAGTCAGTAACCTCCTCCCCATAATTTGGAATGTGGGTGGAGGGGTTCATAGTTCTTCCTGAGTAAGACTTGCCTCCTCCTCTGGCCCCTGGTCCTTTCCTGTTCTCCAGCATGGTGTGTGAAGCTCCCTGGAGGCTCCCGCATGGCAGCGCTGACAGTGACACTGATGGTGCTGAGCTTCCCACTGGCTTTGGCTGGGGACACCGGATATAAGTGCACATTGTGGGTGTTGAGCTACTATGGGGTGGGGAAAATAGGGAGTTTTGTTAACATTGTGCCCAGGCCATGTCCCTTAAGACTTTGTGACTTTTTGGTCAGAGATTGTGCATCTGTATTATTGGATCCCAAATTATCTCCTCCACGAAAGGAGCTTGACTACTTGCTCATGACACAGTCCATGAGACTGTGTAAGGGGCCTTCGTACAGATCATTTCTTTTCAAATCTCCACCAATAAAACCTTTGCATCACATGTCCTCAGGGTGTTTAGAGGATTTGGAAATAAGGATGCTAAAATAATTTCCCCATACGGCACTTCCCTTTATTATGTTGACTTACGTCAGACAAAATGACGTTTTTACTGAAAATTTTGTGGGAGTCAAGGGAATTCAAAGGGTCTCTTCTAGAGGATCCTGGGTTATGTCCTCCACAGGAACTTTGGTGTTGGCCCCTCTTCCTCAAATGTGAGGATGTACCAATGGCCTCCCCATTATCTCCTTTCTTTTTCTTTCTAACTCCAATGTTTATAAAGCCTATATCCCTGTAGTGTATGTAGGTTCTCTGACAGAAGTTATACTTAGTGCTCTGTCTTTCTTATGGGGAAAAATCCCTGGAACTGAAGCTAAGATCTTTAGTACTTGGAGTCACCCTACAGATAAAGAGCATCTCTGGGGTGTTCTTTCGTGCCTAAAGAACTTAAGGCATCCTCGGAAAACCTGGCCCAGCTTAGTGTTTATTACGAATCTCTTCTAACCTTTCTATAGAAATTTCTCCTACATGTCCTACATGCTCTAACTAGACATAACAAGAAGATATTCAACTAACGTAGGATAAATTATATGAAATTCTATTTTTGTAAGTCAAAAACAGTCAAATATCAGAAATTTAATAATGTTCAAACTATATACTGTGTGGGGTTATAGAGACAATGTGGACATTGTTCACATCCCATAGGGCTGAAAGTCAATGAGCAAGTCCTGGGAACTCATTGTCTTACTGGGGTCTTGTCTTAAATTTCATAGGTTCACCCATTATGCCCTCAGCTTTCCTTAATTAGCCATGTCTGCTTACCTCTTCCTCCAGTTTTTATTTTTCCCCAGCTATGTTGTCATCATTTCCAGAAATTCCTAAAGCTTGCACAGACCCAGAGCACTATGAGATCCATTGAAAGAGATTTTTTCCTTTTTTTGAGACAAGGCCTGGCTCTGTCACCCATGCTGTAGTTCCGTGTTATGATCTAGGCTTACTGCAACCTCTGCCTCCCAGGCTCAAGCGAGCCTCCCTCCTCAGCCTCCAGAGTAGTGGAGACTACAGGCAGGAAACCATGCCCAGCTGATTTTTGTAATTTTGCTAGAGATGAGACTTTGCTATGTTACCCAGGCTGGTCTTAAACTGCTGGACTCAAGCAATCCTCCAGCCTTGACCTCCCAACATGCTAGGGTTATAGGTTTGAGCCACCGCACCCAGGCAAAAAATAGATGAATCTTAATTTAAAAATTTATTATTTCTTAAATCACTGTTAATCTTTATCTGTGAATTCTTACAACTAGAAGGAGGAGAAAGAAGAACTTTGCCTGTATTTCACACCGGGAGGAGAAGGGGTCTAGTGTGACATCAAAATGAAAGAGTGCTGGAGTTTGAGCCCCTTCTTGCTTTCCAGGATCCAAACAGTGATCAGTTCCCAGATCCCTGGTTTATTCATGTAAACCACACTTATTTTTCTCAGCAGCTACTGTGTACTCGGCTCCATTCCAAGTTCAAATCATTGTATTTGATTAAGATAGAGAGGGTCCCGACTCTCATGGAAGTTACACAACAATAGAGGAGACAGACATTAACCCAATATGCAATTAACAAAGAAGATAACGTTAGAGAGTAATAGTGCACTGAAGAAAAGACATCAGGTTTGTGGAAAAGAGAGAAATGGATTCACCCAACTTTAGCTCATGTGTTTAGAAAGCTCTGCCTGAGAAAGTGACATTCAGCTGAGACAACAAAATAAGTAGAGAGCCATGTGAAGATCTAAGGGACGAAAGTTCCAGGGAGACAGAATGTGGGGGCAGGGGGAGCAGGAAGCCCTGGTGTGGGAAATTACGTGCAGGGACAGAAAGAAAGCTAGAGACACTGAACTATAGCATTCAAGGAAATGCAGAGGCAGAGGATGAGGTAGGAAGCAGAGAGGAAGTCAGGAGCCTCATTATATTAGGCTCTGATGTCCATGGTAAGAAATTTGAATTTTATTTTATTTATTTTCATTTTTTTATTTCATTATTTATTTTTTGAGATGGAGTTTCGTTCTTGTTGCCCAGGCTGGATGCAATGGCGTGGCCTCGGCTCACTACAACCTCTGCCTCCTGGGCTCACGTGATTTTCCTGCCTCAGCCTCCCGAGTAGCTGGGACTACAGGCGCCTGCCACCATGCCAGGCTAATTTTTTAGTATTTTTAGTAGAGACAGGGTTTTACCATGTTGGCCACGCTGGTCTCGAACTCCTGACCTCCGGTAATCTGCCTGCCTTGGCTTCCCAAACTGCTGGGATTACAGTCATTAGTCTCCGTACCCAGCCTGAATTTTATTTAAATAGATGTGAGACACTACTGGATGGTTACAAGGAGAGTCAATTCATGTTCAGTTTTAGAAACTAATTCTAGCTTTAAAGTAGAGGGAAATTTATAGCACTAAATGCCCACAAGAGAAAGCAGGAAAGATCTAAAACTGACAACCTAACATCAAAATTAAAATAACTAGAGAAGCAAGAGCGATCACATTCAAAAGCTAGCAGAAGGCAAGAAATAACTAAGATCGGAGCAGAACTGAAGGAAATAGAGACACAAAAAACCCTTCAAAAAAGTCAATGAATCCAGGAGCTTGTTTTTTGAAAAGATCAACAAAATTGATAGACCGCTAATAAGACTAATAAAGAAGAAAAGAGAGAAGAATCAAATAGACGCAATAAAAAATGATAAAGGGGTATCACCACCGATCCCACAGAAATACAAACTACCATCAGAGAATACTATAAACACCTCTACGCAAATAAACTTGAAAATCTAGAAGAAATGGATAAATTCCTCGACACATACACTCTCCCAAGACTAAACCAGGAAGAAGTTGAATCTCTGAATAGACCAATAACAGGCTCTGAAATTGAGGCAATAATTAATAGCTTACCAACCAAAAAGTCCAGGACCAGACAGATTCACAGCCGAATTCTATCAGAGGTACAAGGAGGAACTGGTACCATTCCTTCTGAAACTATTCCAATCAATAGAAAAAGAGGGAATCCTCCCTAACTCATTTTATGAGGCCAGCATCATCCTGATACCAAAGCCGGGCAGAGACACAACGAAAAAAAAAGAGAATTTTAGACCAATATCCCTGATGAACATCGATGCAAAGATCCTCAATAAAATACTGGCAAACCGAATCCACCAGCACATCAAAAAGCTTATCCACCATGATCAAGTGGGCTTCATCCCTGGGATGCAAGGCTGGTTCAACAAATGCTAATCAATAAAGGTAATCCAGCACATAAACAGAACCAACGACAAAAACCACATGATTATCTCAATAGATGCAGAAAAGGCCTTTGACAAAATTCAACAACCCTTCATGCTAAAAACTCTCAATAAATTAGGTATTGATGGGATGTATCTCAAAATAATAAGAGCTATTTATGACAAACCCACAGCCAATATCATACTGAATGGGCAAAAACTGAAAGCTTTCCCTTTGAAAACGGGCACAAGACAAAGATGCCCTCTCTCACCACTCCTATTCAACATAGTGTTGGAAGTTCTAGCCAGGGCAATCAGGCAGGAGAAGGAAATAAAGGGTATTCAATTAGGAAAAGAGGAAGTCAAATTGTCCCTGTTTGCAGATGACATGATTGTATATCTAGAAAACCCCATCGTCTCAGCCCAAAATCTCCTTAAGCTGATAAGCAACTTCAGCAAAGTCTCAGGATACAAAATCAATGTGCAAAAATCACAAGCATTCTTATACACCAATAACAGACAGAGAGCCAAATCATGAGTGAACTCCCATTCACAATTGCTTCAAAGAGAATAAAATATCTAAGAATCCAACTTACAAGGGATGTGAAGGATCTCTTCAAGGAGAACTACAAACTGCTGCTCAATGAAATAAAAGAGGACACAAACAAATGGAAGAATATTCCATGCTCATGGGTAGGAAGAATCAATATCATGAAAATGGCCATACTGCCCAAGGTAATTTATAGATTCAATGCCATCCTCATCAAGCTACCAATGACTTTCTTCACAGAATTGGAAAAAACTACTTTAAAGTTCATATGGAACCAAAAAAGAGCCCTCATTGCCAAGTCAATCCTAAGCCAAAAGAACAAAGCTGGAGGCATCATGCTACCTGACTTCAAACTATACTACAAGGCTACAGTAACCAAAACAGCATGGTACTGGTACCAAAACAGAGATATAGATCAAGGGAACAGAACAGAGCCCTCAGAAATAATGCCACATATCTACAACTATCTGATCTCTGACAAACCTTACAAAAACAAGAAATGGGGAAAGGATTCCCTATTTAATAAATGGTGCTGGGAAAACTGGCTAGCCATATGTAGAAAGCTGAAACTGGATCCCTTCCTTACACCTTATACAAAAATTAATTCAAGATGGAGTAAAGACTTAAATGTTAGACCTAAAACCATAAAAACCCTAGAAGAAAACCTAGGCAATACCATTCAGGACATAGGCATGGGCAAGGACTTCATGTCTAAAACACCAAAAGCAATGGCAACAAAAGCCAAAATGGACAAATGGGATCTAATTAAACTAAAGAGCTTCTGCACAGCAAAAGAAACTACCATCAGAGTGAACAGGCAACCTACAGAATGGGAGAAAATGTTTCCAATCTACTCATCTGACAAAGGGCTAATATCCAGAAACTACAAAAAACTCAAACAAATTTACAAGAAAAAAACAAACAACCAAAGCAACATGTGGGTGAAGGATATGAACAGACACTTCTCAAAAGAAGACATTTATGCAGCCAAAAGACACATGAAAAAATGCTCATCAACACTGGCCATCAGAGAAATGCAAATCAAAACCACAATGAGATACCATCTCACACCTGTTAGAATGGAGATCATTAAAAAGTCAGGAAACAACAGGTGCTGGAGAGGATGTGGAGAAATAGGAACACTTTTACACTGTTGGTGGGGCTGTAAACTAGTTCAACCATTGTGGAAATCAGTGTGGCGATTCCTCAATGATCTAGAACTAGAAATACCATTTGACCCAGCAATCCCATTACTGGATATATACCCAAAAGATTATAAATCATGCTGCTATAAAGACACATGCACATGTATGTTTATTGTTGCACTATTCACAATAGCAAAGACTTGGAACCAACCCAAATGTCCAACAATGATAGGCTGGATTAAGAAAATGTGGCACATATACACCATGGAATACTATGCAGCCATAAAAAAGGATAAGTTCGTGTCCTTTGCAGGGACATGGATGAAGCTGGAAACCATCATTCTCAACAAACTATTGCAAGGACAAAAAACCAAACACCGCATGTTCTCACTCATAGGTGGGAATTGAACAATGAGAACACATGGACACAGGAAGGGGAACTTTACACACCGGGGCCTGTTGTGGGGTGGAGGAAGGGGGGAGGGATAGCATTAGGAGATATACCTAATGTAAATGAAGAGTTAATGGGTGCAGCACACCACGTGGCACATGTATACATATGTAACAAACCTGCACATTGTGCACATGTACCCTAGAACTTAAACTATTAAAAAAAAAAAACCGATAATTCTTTTTTTTTTTTTTTTGAGATGGAGTCTCGCTCTGTTGCCCAGGCTGGAGTGCAATGGTGCAGTCTCAGCTCACTGCAACCTCCACCTCCCAGGTAATTTTTGTATTTTTAGTAGAGACGGGGTTTCACCATGTTGGCCAGGCTGTTCTCAAACTCCTTACCTCATGATCCGCCTGCCTCAGCCTCCCAAAGTGCTAGGATTACAGGCGTGAGCCACTGCGCCCGGCAGAAAAGAGGTAATTCTTAATGAAAATTTTTTTCTTTCTTACAATCACTGTTTCCTTATCTGTGAATCCTTCTTCCAACTAGAAAGAGGAGAGAAAAGAAGTTTGCCTTAATTTCTCACAGGGAGGAGAAGGGATATAGCATGTCATTAGAATGAAAGGGTGCAGGAGCTTGAGCCCTTTTCTGCTTTCTAGAATACCCAGAGTGATCAGTTCCCAGAACTTCGGTTTATTCATTTAGACCACAGGTATGTTTCTGAGCAAAAGTTTTGTTCTGGTCTCTGTTCTAGGCTCAGAGATTTCTACTTGAATAGGATAAAAAAGATCCCTACTCTCATGGAACTCAATACCAGAGGAGACAGACAATATCCCAATAAATATTTAACAAAAAAGAAAAATTCAGAGAGCAATAATGCCTTTAAAAAAAGACATCAGGGTGATAGGACAGAGAGAATTGGATTCACCCAACTTCACATTGGATTCACAGGTAGTTTGGGAGCCCTCCCTGAGGAGAGCTCACATTTAGCTGAGACAAGAACAATAAGACAGCCATGTGAAGATCTAAGGGACAAGTGTTCCAGACAGACAGAAAAGGGGAAAGGCCAAGGAATGGGAAGGCGTGTGCTGTGTTGAAGAGACAGAAAGAAGGTTAGAGGGGCTGAGGGATGGAAAGCAAGGGGTGGAGTGGCAGAAGATGAGGTAAGAGAGAGAGAAAGTCAGGAGCTGCATCATATTCGGCCTTGGTGGCCATAGTAAGGAATTAAGTTTTATTTAAACATATTGGAAGCTCCTGGGAGGTTACAAGGAGAGTCCATTAATATTATGTTGCGGGAAGTCAGGGACCCCAAACAGAGGGACCGGCTGAAGCCAGAACAGAAGAATGTGGATTGTGAAGATTTTATGCACATTTATTAGTTCCCCAAATTAATACTTTTGTAATTTCTTATGCCTGTCTTTACTGCAATCTCTAAACATAAATTGTAAAGATTTCATGGACACTTATCACTTCCCCAATCAATACCCTTGTGATTTCCTATGCCTGCCTTTACTTTAATCTCTTAATCCTATCAGCCGAGGAGGATGTACGTCGCCTCAGGACTATGTGATAATTGCATTAACTGCACAAATTGTACAGTATGTGTGTTTGAGCAATATGAAATGTGGGCACCTTGAAAAAAGAACAGGATAACAGCAATTGTTCAGGGAATAAGAGAGATAACCTTAAACTCTGACTGCCGGTGAGCCAGGCAGAACAGAGCCATATTTCTCTTCTTTCAAAAGCAAATGGGAGAAATATTGCTGAATTCTTTTTCTCAGCATGGAATGTCCCTGAGAAAGAGAATGCGCACCTAGGGGTAGGTCTCTGAACTGGCCCCCCCGGGGCGTACCTATCTCTTCTGGTCGAGATTGCAGAGGTGAGATAGATTCCAGTCTCCCATAGCACTCCCAGGCTTATTAGGAAGAGGAAATTCCCACCTAATAAATTTTGATCAGATCAGTTGATCTCAAAACCATGTCTCCTGATAAGATGTTATTGATGACAATGGTGCCTGAAACTTCATTAGCAATTTTAATTTCGCCTCGGTCCTGTGGTCCTGTGATCTCGCCCTGCCTCCACTTACCTTGTGATATTCTATTACCCTGTTAAGTACTTGATGTCTGTCACCCACACCTATTCGCACACTCCCTCCCCTTTTGAAAATCCCTAATAAAAACTTGCTGGTTTTTGTGGCTTGTGGGGCACTGTGGATCCTACCAACGTGTGATGTCTCCCCCAGCTTTAAAATTTCTCTCTTTTGTACTCTGTCCCTTTATTTCTCAAGCCGGCCGATGCTTAGGAAAATAGAAAAGAAACTACGTGATTATCCGGGCAGGTCCCCCGATAATATTCAATTTTAAAAATAATTCTAGCTACTATGTGGAGATTGGATTGTTGGGGTTCACAAGTGGAGAACAGCAGAATTCTCCAGGGAAGACAAATTTTTGGCTTCATGTAGTGTAGTAGTGACAAAGACAGATCCAGATAAAGTGAACAGACTTGGGATGTCTTTTTGCATGACTTGTTAATGGATTAAATGTAACTTATTTCTAAGTATTTTGCCTTGATAAATAGGTGGATGGTGGTGCTGCTTATTGAAATAGGGAAGAATATGGGAGGAAATGATTTGAAGTGGGTGATTAGAAATGACAATTGTGTTTATTAAAATTGAGATGATTTTTGAACTCACATGAAGCAATCAGGAAGTCAACTGAATATAAGAGAGGAGTTCAGGGTGAGGCCAGGGCTGGAGGTATTTATGTTGGGGTCGATGCAGGTTCTGTGTTAAATTCCAGGGAAGTGGAAGAGGTTGCAGAGGGAGATAGATTTTTGTGTAGAAAAAATATCAGAGGGCCACAGGACAGCATAAGGGACTGAGAAGATTCCCCAGAGATGCTGGAGAAAAAAAACCCAAGGAATGTGATGCATGGGAATCAAAGAAAAATGATTTTTTCGAGGCGAGGGAGTGGCCAGTTGTGGTGAGAACCACTGACAGGTGAGTGAAGTAAGAACGTGACAGAGACGCAAGTACTGGGTTTGGAGGAGTTGGTATTTGCAGTCAGTGGAGTATCCAGGATGGAAAGTGGATTGGACCAGTTGAAGAGCGGGTGGAAGAAGTGAGGGCTGGATGAAGTTTGACTCTTTTGAGTAGCGAGCCTCAGGGAAAGACTATGCTCTGGGATCAGGGAGCCAGCTGGATCTAAAGAAAATGAACAAAGAAGCTGGATGACCTGTGAACCAGAGACAGATGCTCAGTCATTGGCAATGAAGCACTAGAAGGCCCCTGTGTACAGTGGTGACAGGTTATGCAAAAGGCTATTAGTTCATACAGCCAATATTTATTAGTGACTTAGAATATACTAGTTATTACCTTGGGTGATGAGAATGGAGTAATAAACAAAGCAAATCTGGTCTGTATTAGCGTGGAGTATTGTAATATTTTGCAGTGACTAATTACCAGGCTTATAAATTTTGGTATGGAAATCTAATACCTATCCTATCATATCTTTGGTATTTAAAAGCATATACATCTTTGGAATCTAAAATTCAAAGGGTATAATGAACTTACCCACTGTCACAAAGTTAGTGCTAGAAATCCGATTGCAATTTAAATCTGAGTATATATGAAGTCCCTCTCTTCGATATCAGCAATCTCCTTTTGTGTGAGGTTTAGGCATGTGAATTATTATATATAAACCAGTGTTTCTGTCCTCATGTGTTTAAAATGGTAATTAGTGCTAAATTAATAAAAGACAATTGCCAAATCATGATGTAGACGTTACTTGCTTTAGAAGTTAAGGAATAGAAAAATAATGAAGCTTTCCTTTATAGGGATTGTAAAAATAAAATGGTAATATATTAGAGTGATTATTATATTATCAGCACTAAGAAGAGCCACTGCTTAGTTTTACCCTCAACAATAATCCTGTGAGGAATATATTACTGTTGGATCCATTTTATATATATATTTAAAGGTTAATGATTGTTAAAATTAACCCAAGTAGAAGGGGTCATGTTTAAATTCAGATTTCCTGATTCTAGAGCCTTAGCTTACAACCACCATTAGTGAATAGTGACTAGACTGAGTCTGAATTATTGATAGAATTTCTTATGTACAGGGTGTGTCTCAGGGTGGGAGAGAGATGCAAGGTCTGCTAGTCCCAATGTAAAGGAGAAACTTTCATTCATTTTGCATTTATCATTTGAAAACTTCCCTATGTGCACGCTGTCATAGGCATGTGTTAAAGAAAACAAAGAAGTATTAAATTCACTCCTTCTGAGCATTATTAGCAAGTTGGGCTAAGGTTGCCAAATAAAGTACAGGATACCCAGTTAAATCCGAACTTCAGATAAACAACAATAATGTATTTGAAATCCAAATTTAACTAGGCACCCTCTATTTTTATTTGCTAAATATGGCAATCTAAGCTTGGCACATGAGCATAGACTGCAGTGCTAACTATGCAAGCTACAGTGACGGCAACTTCACATATTTTTATTTTTCAACATTCTTATCTGTGAAGAAGGTGCTCAGAGAATTTAGGAATAATAAGATAGACCTTATCTCATCCAAAGTGCTCTCCTCTCTGCTATCATTTCTGAAGGGTGAAGGGAGCTTGTGAAAGTCTCTACGCAAAATCTGGGGACTTGCTCGTTTTTTGGAAACTATCTATGAGAGAATGCCATCTTCTTAGTTTCTCCCTGTATTAGTCTGTTTTCAGGCTGCGGATAAAGACATACCCAAGACTGGATAATTTATAAGGAAAAAGGGCTATAATAGACTCACAGTTCCATGTGGCTGGGGAGATCTCACAATCACAGCGGAAGGTGAAAGGCATGTCTCACATGATGGCAGGCAAGAGAAGAATGACAGCAAGCGAAAGGGTTTTTCCCTTTATAAAACCATCAGATCTCATAAGACTTATTCACTGTCATGAGAACAGCATGGGGAAAGACCTGCCCCCATGACTCAACTATCTCCCACCTGGTCCCTCCCACAACACGTGGGAATTGTGGGAGCTACAATTCAAGACAAGATTGAAATGCTTACGCAGCCAAACCATAGCACTCCCCTTCTGAGAAGGCTTAACTACAGAAATGAGAGTTCTGCCTCTGTCCAAGGTTGGTAATTTGATGCCTCCTTGTATTGTTGGGAGTAGGAAACTGAAAGTTAGAAAATGAATTAGCTGAGGCAGTGAGTAGTGGACCAGTGACACAGAAATTAAGAATATGACTTGGCGACTGGGAAGGCAAATAAATCAGTAAACCTTGGTTCTGAATGAATTAATTTTGCTAGAAAAATAGCTCTGCACTGGGACTAGATTCCTAAAAATCCTAAGTTTTATGTAGGACCAAGATTTTAAATAGATAGAATATTGGCAGAGTTTTCAGTGTAAATCTCAAATATTCCATAATTAATAGCGGCTTTTTAACCATAGATTTTTCAGATGGTTACACTAGTGGGTCTCACCCAGGGATAGTTCACCACCCCTCTGTCCCTCCCTTCCCTCTCCCAACTCCCTAGGGAACATTTGGCAATGTCTGGAGCCATTTTTGGTTGTCACACCAGGAGTTTCTTCTGACATGTAACAAGTAGAAGCTAGGGACCCTAGTAGACAGCTCCTCTCACCAAGAAAATATTATCTAGTCCAAAATGTCAATAGTGCCAAGGCTGAGAACACTGGTTTACATTGTGTTTCTTCTAAAAATTCTAGACTCACACTTTTAAAACACATTTATCTCTTAGTTCAGCTCTTCATGGCTTAGTTTTGCTTGTTTCATTGCCAAAAAAAAAAAAAAAAAAACTAGACAGTTGCATAAATTCACTGCTTTCTTGATGAATCCATTCAATCAATGCAGGTTCAAGATTTTCATTTTTACTTTTTTGCGTTATGCAGTTTATTTCAAAATTTTGATGTGTTCTTGATAATTACTATCTCTATTAACTTTCAACAACTGGTAATTATAAGTCATAAATGGTGACGACTATCCCAAATATTTTTCAGTAAAATGCTTCAGATTTCTGCAGTAATTCTACATTTTATACTACTGATAATGTAAGATGCTTTCTATTCACTGTGGTACATATACACCACGGAATACTATGCAGCCATAAAGAGGAATGAGATCACGTCCTTTGCAGAGACATGGATGAAGCTGGAAGCCATTATCCTCAGCAAATTAACACAGAAACAGGAAACCAAACACCGCATGTTCTCACATATAAATGGGAGCTAAACAATGAGAACACATGGACACAGGGAGGAGAACAACACTTACTGGGGTCTGCTGGGGGAGGGCAGAGCTGGGGAGAACATTAGGGAAAAGAGCCAATGCGTGCTGGGCTTAATACCTAGGTAATGGGTTGATAGCTGCAGCAAACCACCATGGCACATGTTTACCTGTGTAACAAACCTGTACATCCTGCACATGTACCCAGAACTTAAAAAAAAAATTATTATTTTAAAAATGCTTTCTATTCATCTCATTTTATTAAACACAAGGATTTTTCTTTATTTTTTATTTTTCATAGTTCATTTAAACATAAATACAAAAACATCAAAAATATATACATGCACAGTATTTGAAATCTGTGTGTATTTACACATGCATACGTATGTTTGTATGTTTATATATATTGAAACTACAGATGCACATGTCACCAGTAAGAGCTCTGTGACACTTTTGAGTCCTTACCTCTTCAGATCAGATTTGCCAAATGAGTTTCGGCAACAAATTAAAAACAACAGCAAGTGAATTCGTGAGTTTTCTGGATTTAGAAAGTCCAAAAAAAAAAGTTTGTGGACCTGTGTTGGGGTCATGGACTCTTCAACTGTTTCCCATTACATTTAGTATAAATCGAAATCCTAACATGACAATGATTTTAATTGTTCCCTTCTTGTGATTTCTCCAGTTTAATCTTTTCCCCTCCTTTCCTTCATGCTGTGCTTTAGTGAACTTTTTTCTGGTTTCTTGAAGAAGTTCATCAATTCTTTCAAGCTTTTGTACATGATATTATGCTTACCTGAAATGTGCCTCCCTTTTTGTCCAGAGACACACACGGGCTCCACTCTGCCCCCTGGCTCACACCCACTAAACCTGTAAGGTCACATTTGAGCTGTCACTCTCAGAGTCCTTCTCTGGCACCCTAATGTAATTTAGATCATCCTATTCTTTCTTCTAGAACTCCACACTTCTCTTAACATTTTTCGTTCCTGTATAAGGTGTTGCGTGTTTGGTTTTTTGCCATCAATTTCACTTCTCTTTAAGCTCCTCCAGCGGAGGGATGAGGTCTATTTTTCCCGTTTGGATTCCCAGGAGACGGCACAGATGAGACACAAGGTAAGCACTAAGGAAGCATTTACAGAATGGAGGCAGTGGGTCTTGTTTAAGGAATGAGTAGAGTGTGGCATGATAGGAGGCAGCAGAAGTGTCTTTTGGATGGAGGCTCCCAGGAGGAGGAAGCGCAGGAGACAGTGATGAGGAAGGTGATCCTGATCCAGAGCCTTGCAAAGAGGCGTCCAGCTCAGCTCGGAAATGGGTAGCGGATCCCAAATGGTATTCCACGCCCCTCGCAGCCTCCCTCCGCCTCAGGCAGATGGAAGAGGAACCCCTAGGTGGTCGGGGGTGGCTGGTGGGGGCCAGTCAAGGTGTTCCGCCCCTCGCCCTGCTGATTGTGGGCATAGCCATCACTCTTTTCCTAGGATGCCGCCCAAGAAACCGGTTCTTCATGTCCCTGCGGCACATTTCTTGGAGCAGATTAAACACGAGTGCTATTTCTGCAATGGGACAGAGCGGATGCGGTTTGTGCAGAGACTCGTCCACACCGGAAGGAGTATGCGCGCTTCCATAGGGACGTCAGAAAGTTCCGGGCGGTGGCGGAGCTGGAGCGGAGAAGAGTCCAGGAATGCAAACAGCCAGAAGAACCTCTTGGGCTGCTTGCGGGGTCTGTTGGACACCTACTGCAGACACAACTACGGGGTTTTTGAGAGCTTCTCCATGCACAGGCGAGGTGAGCAAGGCGGGTGGGGGAGGGCAGTAGGGTCCCTGAGAACAGGGAGTGTGTGTGTATGCACACGTAAGCACCCTGTGGGAGGGTGTAGGATTGTGAGCCAGAAGGAATTAGGAGGGCTCAGGTAGGTGAGTGTAGAGTGGGGATTTGTCTGTGTGTCTGCTGTGGGAGGGAACACAGGAGGGAGCTTCAGCTTGTCCTTCCAGCCTTCTGGGCAGAGATGAGATGAGATGGGGGTGGGAATGGTGGTGCAGGGGGCTGGAGAAGGAGACCTTAATCGCCCTGAATCATTAGAGATGCAGGAAAGGGAAACTTACCTAGTCTGCTGTTGGCATGAAAGTTTAGGGGAGAAGAGATGAGAAATGATAATGTGAGGGATAATGTGAGGAGGCTAGTCACAAACTGTCCTTGGTACACACCCTTTATGATCCCGAAATCTCTGAAATAAAAGTGTATGATATTTGTTTGCATAAGCATTTCACTGAGAAAAAAGTATTCAACTAATTTCTTTCTTTTTTATTTTAAACTTTTATTTTAGTTTTAGGGATACATGTACAGGTTTGCTCTATAGGTAAACTGCATGTCAGGTGTGTTTGATGTACAGATAATTTCATCACCAAGGTAATAAGCATAGTATCTCACAGGTATTTTTCCTGATCCTTTCCCTCCTCCTATCCTTCACCCTCAAGTAGGTCCCCATATCTACTGTTCTCTTCTTTGTATCCATGTGTACTCAATGTTTAGTTCCCACTTATAAGTGAGAACATGTGGTATTTGGTTTTTTGTCCCTATGTTAGTTTGCATAAGATAATGGCCTCCAGCTCCATCCATGTTCCTGCAAAGGACATGATCTTGAGAGGTGACGCTGGCTGGGCTTCTGGGTTGGGCAGGGACTTGGAGAACTTTTCTGTCTAGCTAAAGGATTGTAAAAGCACCAATCAGCACTCTGTGAAAACACACCAATCAGCACTCTGCATCTAGCTAAAGGTTTGTAAACGCACCAATCAGCACTCTGTAGAAATGCCCCAATCAGTGCTCTGTGTCTAGCTAAAAGTTTGCAAACGTGCCAATCAGCACTCTGTAAAATGGACCAATCAGCAGGATGTGGACAGGGCCAAATAAGGGAATAAAAGCTGGCCACCCCAGCCAGCAGCTGCAACCCACTCAGGTCCCCTTCCACACTGTGGAAGCTTTGTCCTTTCACTCTTTGCAATAAATCTTGCTGCTGCTCACTCTTTGGGTCCGCACTACCTTTATGAGCTGTAACACTCACTGCTAAGGTCTGCAGCTTCACTCCTGAAGCCAGCAAGACAACAAACCCACCAGGAGGAACGAACAACTCAGGACGCACCACCTTTAAGAGCTGTAACACTCACTGTGAAAGTCTGCAGCTTCACTCCTGATGTCAGCGAGACCACAAACCCACTGGGAGGAATGAACAACTCCAGATGCACCACCTTTAAGAGCTGTAACACTCACAGCAAAGGTCTGCGGCTTCACTCCTGAAATCAGCAAGACCACGAACCCACCAGAAGGAAGAAACTTGGGATAC
The DNA here is from genome assembly GCF_000001405.40 of Homo sapiens. Classification (NCBI taxonomy): domain Eukaryota; kingdom Metazoa; phylum Chordata; class Mammalia; order Primates; family Hominidae; genus Homo; species Homo sapiens. The sequence goes on along the minus strand of NT_167244.2, from coordinate 3,790,509 downwards.
ATTTGAACATCTGAAGGAACAAACTCCGGACACACCATCTTTAAGAACTGTAACACTCACCACGAGGGTTCATGGCTTCATTTTTGAAGTCAGCGAGACCAAGAACCCACCGGAAGGAACCAATTCTGGACAGAATCTCATTCTTTTTATGGCTGCATAGTATTCCATGGTGTATATGTACCACGTTTCCTTTAACCAGTCCACTGTTGATGGGCATCTAGGTTGATTCAATGTCTTTGCTATTGTGAACAGTGCTGCAGTGAACATATGTGTGCATGTGTCTTAATGGTAGAATGGTTTATATCCCTTTAGGTATATACACAGTAATGGGATTGCTGAATCAAATGGTAATTTTCTTTTTAGTTCTTTGCACCCCACTGCTTTCCACAATGGCTGAACTAATTTACATTTCTATTAGCAGTGTATAAGCATTCTCTTTCCTTGCAACCTCACCAGCATCTGTTATTTTTTGACTTTTTAATAGTAGCCATTCACACTGGTATGAGATGGTATCTTATTGTGATTTTGACTTGCATATCTCTAATAATTAGTGCTGTTGAGAATTTTTTCCTATGTTTGTTGGCTGCATGTATGTCTTCTTTTGAAAAGTGTCTGTTCATGTCTGTTCATGCCCATATTTTAATGAGGTTGTTTGGTTTTTTTCTTGTAAATTTGTTTAAGTTCCTTATAGATTCTGGATATTAGACCTTTGTCAGATGCATAGTTTGCAAATATTTTCTGTTGCAGGTGAGCAATAACTATCTGGGCCAGTGGCGCCAGGGTAAAAGAATTTACCAAGACAGTTGTAGGTAGAAAAAAAAAGCAGATTTATTAGAGAAAGTAGGAAAATATGTTGCAAGGAGGCAACAGGCAGGCAGGCCAGCAGAAGAGAAGCTGACTGCACGGAAACAAAGGCTTGCAGGAGATTTTATAGGATGGTTCTTAGGCTGCAGAGTGCTATGTGCAGTAGCAACAATGCCAGGGTTGCAGTGAGCTAGTTTATAGATGTCTGATGATAGTTGGGCACGGGAAGACTGTGAGTTATTTGCACAGGAGGGCTGTGTGTTCTGGACCATGAGGAAAGACAGACTTACAGCTTATTTGTTTTACCTCTTTGCTTTCTTCTGGTCCCACCAGCCTGACTCCTTTTCCCGAATTAGGACTTGACATTTTCTCCATTCTCTAGGTTTTCTATTTACTCTGTCGATAGTTTCTTTTACTGCACAGAAGCTCTTAAGTTAAATTAGGTCCCATTTGTCAATTTTTGTTTTTGTTGTGATTGCTTTTGGTGTCTTTGCCATGAAATCTTTGCCAAGTCCTATGTTCAGAATGGTATATTCTAGGTTACTTTCCAGGGTTTTTATGATTTTAGGTTTTACATTTAAGTCATTAATTCATTTTAAGTTGATTTTTGTATATGGTGTAAGGTAGCAGTCCAGCTTCAGTCTTCTGCATATGGCTAGCCAGTTAGTACAGCACCGTTTATTGAATGAGGAGTCCTTTCCTCATTGCTTGTTTTTGTCATCTTTGTCAAAGATCAGATGGTTGGAGTTGTACAGCATTATTTCTGGACTCTCTATTCTGTTCCATTTGTCTGTGTGTCTGCTTTTGTACCAGTACCATGCTGTTTTGGTTACTGTGGCCTCATAGTATAGTTTGAAGTTGAGCAACATAGTAACTCTTACTTTATTCTTTTGCTTAGGATTGCCTTAGCTATTTAGGCTCTGTTTTGCTTCCATATGAATTTTAAAATAGTTTGTTCTAGTTCTGTGAAGACTGTCAGTGGTAGTTTAATGGGAATAGCATTGAATCTATAAATTACTTTGGGCAGTATGGCCATTTTAATGATATTGAGTCTTCCTATCCATGAGAATGATAATTTTTTCCATTTGTTTGTGTCATCTCTGATTTCTCTGAGCAGTGTTTTGTAGTTCTTCTTGTAGAGATCTTTCATCTCCATAGTTAGCTGTATTCTTAGGTAATATGTGTGTGTGTGGAAATTGTGAGTGGGATTATGTTCTTGATATGGGTCTCAGCTTGAGTGTTCTTTGTGTATAGGAATGCTGCTGATTTTTATATGTTGATTTTTTTTATCCTGAAACTTTGCTGAAGTTGTTTATCAGCTAAAGGAACTTTTGGGCCAAGATTTGGAGATTTAGGGTTTTCTAGACACAGGATCATATCATCTGCAAACAGGGATAGTTTGACTTCCACTCTTCCTCTTTGAATGCCCTTTATTTCTTTCTCTGGCCTGATGTTCTGGTCAGGACTTCCAATACTATCTTGAATAAGAATGGTGAGGGAGGGCCGGGCACAGTGGCTTACACCTGTAATCCCAGTGCTTTAGGAGGCTGAGGTGGGTGGATCACGAGGTGAGGATATCAACACCATCCTGGCTAACATGATGAAACCTGGTCTCTACTAAAAAAAAAAAAAAAAAAAAAATGCCAGGCGTGGTGGCATGTGCCTGTAGTCCCAGCTACTTGGGAGGCTGAGGCAGGAGAATTGCTTCAACCTGGGAAGCGGAGATTGCAGTGAGCTGAGATCGCGCCACTGCACTACTCCAGCCTGGCAACAGAGCAAGACTCTGTCTCCAAAAAAAAAAAAAAAAACAGTGGTGAGAGAGGGCATCCTTGTCTCCTGCTGATTTTCAAGAGTGATGCTTCCAGCTTTTGCCCATTCACTATGTTGTTGGCTGTGGCTTTGTCATTGATGGCTCTTATTATTTTGAAGTATGTTCCTCCAATGCCTAGTTTACTGAGGTTTTTTTTTTTTTTTAAGATGGAGTCTTTCTCTGTTGTCAGGCTGGAGTGCAGTGGCGGGATCTTGGCTCACTGCAACCTCCGCCTTCTGGGTTCAAGCGATTCTCCTGCTTCAGCCTCCTGAGTAGCTGCGACTACAGGCGCATGCCACCATGCCCAGCTAAGTTTTCATTTTTAGTAGAGACAAGGTTTCACCATGTTGGCCAGGATGGTCTCAATCTCCTGACCTTGTGATCTGCCCACCTCAGCCTCCCAAAGTGCTGGGATTACAGGCGTGAACTGAGCATTTTTAACATGAAGTGCTGTTGAATTTTATCAAAAGCCTTTTCCACATCTATTGAGATGATCAGGTGGTTGTTGCCTTTCATTCTGCTTTATGTGATGGATCACATTTGTTGATTTGTATATGTTGAACTAACCTTGCATCTCAGGGGTAAAATCTACTTGATCGTGGTACATTAGCTTTTGATGTGCTGCTTGATTTGGTTTGTTAGTATTTTGTTAAGGATATTTGCATCTATGTTCATCAAGAATATTGGCCTGAAATTTTCTTTTTTTGTTGTTTCTGCCCGGTTTTGGTATCAGGATGATGCTGGCCTCAGAATGAATTGGGGAGTAATCCCTTCTCCTCAATTTTTTTGGAATAATTTTAATAGGAATAGGACCAGGTCTTCTTTATCCATCTGGTAGAATTCAGCTGTGAATCCATCTGGTCCCAGGCTTTTTTTGGTTGGTAGGCTTTTTATTACTGACTCAATTTCAGAACTCATTATTGGTCTGTTTAGGAATTCAGTTTCTTCCTGGTTCAGTCTTGAGAGGGTGTATGTGTCCAGGAATTTATCCATTTCTTAAATATATATTCATTTATATTAGTCCATTATCATGCTGCTAATAAAGGCATACTTGAGATTGGGCAATTTACAAAAGAAGGAGGTTTAATGGACTCGCAGTTCCACATGGCTGGGGAGGCCTCACAATCATGGTGGAAGGTGAAAAGCACATCTCACATGGCAGCAGACAAGAGAAGAGGACTTGGGCAGGGAAACTCCCCTTCATAAAACCATCAAATCTCATGAGACTTATTCACTATCACAAGAATAGTACGGGAAAGACCTACCCCATGATTAAATTACCTCCCACCAGGTCCCTCCCACAACATGTGGGTATTATGGGACCTACAATTCAAGGTGAGATTTGGGTGGGGACAGGGCCAAACCATATCATTCCACCACCGGCCCCTCCCAAATCTCATGCCCTCATATTTCAAACCAATCATGCCTTCTCAAGAGTACCCCAAAGTCTTATTTCTACATTAACTCAAAATCCACAGTCCAAATTCTCATCTGAGACAAGGCAAGTCCCTTCTGCCTATGAGCCTGTAAAATCAAAAGCAAGCTAGTTACTTCTTAGACACAATGAGGGTACAGGCATTGAATAAATGTACCCATTCCAAATGGAAGAAACTGGCC